>NC_000004.12:90436532-90739562 GCF_000001405.40 Homo sapiens
AAATCATCTAAATTTTAGTTTTCAGTGTATTAAGTGAAGAAATTGAGACTTAAAGTTATATAAGCAGTTAAACTCAGATATGTTTATAAGAATCCGATTTTCTTTTAGTCTACTATGTTTATATCACAAAAAATTGATTCATCTGACACAATTATATACACATCTATAGAATGATGTAAGAGTATATGACATATAATTATGCATATATGCATATTAGTAATATATGTACACATATATGTATTATATTAGCATTTGTAATCATGGAGAATATTAGTTCCTTTTTTTTTTTTTTGAGACGGAGTCTCACTCTGTCGCCCAGGCTGGAGTGCAGTGGCGCAATCTCAGCTCACTGCAAGCTCTTCCTCCCGGGTTCACGCCATTCTCCTGCCTCAGCCTCCCGAGTAGCTGGGACTACAGCCTCCCGAGTGCTGGCACCCGCCACCACGCCTGGCTAATTTTTTTGTATTTTTAGTAGAGTTAGGGTTTCACCGTGTTAGCCAGGATGGTCTCAATCTCCTGACCTTGTGATCCACCTGCCTCAGCCTCCCAAAGTGCTGGGATTTCAGGCGTGAGCCACCGCCCCCGGACGAGAATATTATTTCATAAAGATGAATACCCTTAAAATTAGAAACAGGAAGAGAAACAAGTACTCATTTTTATTTTATGTTAGATTTGAAGATTTAATTTATAATTAAAACACACACGCACACATGCACACATACGCACACATGCACACATGCGCGCGCACACACACACATATATATATACACACAGATATAGGTGTTTTAGTGTACATATATAATCTATAGTGAACAATATATTTTTATTTAGATACATGTTTTTATCTTTTGAGTGATAATTGTCATTGCTAAATGTAGACAGAGATAATATGATGAGATAGGAATACAAATAGTGGAAGCAAAAAACTTAAATTTAGATTTCCCTTTTTACTTACTAGTTGGATGTCTTTAAAAATTGATTAATATCTCTGAATCCATTTTGCTTTCTTTTCTGTATAATGAGGATAAGAAAACAAAATTTCCTGGTTTTGGGAAGGTTCCAGATAATGCATATAATGTGGTCAGCATAGTCATTTCATGTTGTTTGGTTGGTACCTACCAGAACATACCAGAACATAGCAGAGAGACATCCCAGAACACTGAGGCAAGCAACCTCTTCATTTGTATCTCATCATAGTAGTTCCAATGTACTAATATGATTCAAACCTGAAAAATTATGATATACTGACTACTTGGGTACATAATTACTAGAAATGAAATTATATTAATAATATTAGTATACATGAAATGATCCTTGAGAACTGAATAGCCAGAGGTGATTTCATGTTTATTCTTTTTGGCTAATTATGATCTGAGTTTTTATCAACAATAGTTAAAAATATGGACTTTGAGATAAGAGAGGCTTGGTTTAAAGTGCTGGGTTTACCACTTAGTAGCTGTGTGAACATTTTATCTACATCTCCACAGTTCTGTAAAATGCAATAATAATAATATTTTTCTGATAAAGTTATTGTGAAATTAAAGAAATAGCACATTGAAAAAGCTTATTGCTATACTTGATACAGAAAAGTCAATACATTTCAGGTGTTATATCATTGATGTTATTACTAAGGCAGTGGCATTTTTTGTTTCTCTTAAGAAACCAGACTTGATCTTTGCACAACTTTAGAAGTATAAATCTTATGGTTAACAATATAGATAGCAATGCTTTTGGGGCAAGATATATAAATTAAGAGATTCATTGCTATTAATAGGGTAAAACAATTAATGGAGTAATTTTATTTTAAGGGTCATCACATTTTGACTAAGATCCTTTCAAAGGCTAATTCATTCATTATTTTATAGTTTCACTTGTGTTCTTATGCTGCCAAATATTGGTGAATTTCTGTATACTATAAGAGAACAGGATTATAAATAACATTGTTAAGGTGATTTACCAAAAAAACAAAACAAAACAAAACCTGATTAGTACTATAGTAGGGCAATAATGAAAAGAGACAAATTTAGAAAAAGTAAAGGAAATGCTAAATCATGCACTTAGACAACATACTTGTGAAACTGTTTTACTGACATAATCATAAAGTCTAATCTAAAAAATGTAGATACATACATACACAAAGATTTATTGAAGGAAAACAGGATATGTCATGGTAGATCAGCATCCTTGACATTAATCAAAACTGATGATGTCATTAAAGAATTTATAGATTCTTTTGATATCTTCTATCTATCTATCTATCTATCTATCTATCTATCTACTTTCTGTCAGAGAACTTGATTGCCCTTTGATTCTGAATCATTAGAAAAATTACATTCTTATTTGGCACAGTGCAGATAGTGAAATAATTAATTGATCTATATAAGCATATTGGAAATGAGAAACAGCACTTTTTATACTATTTGTGATTTTTTAAAACTGGCATGCTATTATGCTATTATTCATTTTTTTAAAAAGCCTTGGCTGGGCACGGTGGCTCACACCTGTAATCCCAGCACTTTGGGAGGCTGAGGCAGGTAGATCACGAGGTCAGGAGTTTGAGACAGGCTTGACCAAGATGGTGAAACCCCGTCACTAATAAAAAATACGAAAATTAGTCAGTCGTGGGCACCTGTGGTCCCAGCTACTCGGGAGTGCTGAGGCAGGAGAGTCACTGGAGCCCGGGAGGCGGAGGTTGTAGTGAGCTGAGATCACACCACTGCACTCTAGCCCGTGTGACAGAGCAAGATTCCTTCTCCAAAAGGAAAACAAAACAAAACAAAAACAAACAAACAAAAAAAACCAGCCTTAGTAGTAAACACACGCATTTCTAATTTTATTTCTATATCATTTAGGTTATTGTTGTTATAAACTTTGAAAGAATATATCTTAAAATACTATTTTTAGTAACTATAAAACATTCTTTTAACTCATTTGCAAAAGACTATACTTCTAATATATCCCTACCCTAATCTTTGTTGATTGGAGTTAGAAATCAGTTTATTCTGAGTCTCATTCTGCTCTCTGCCAAGGCTTTTCCAAATTGTCCCCTTAGATATTTTGCTTCTATATATCCTAATTCTGGCTTAAAGACATTTACTGAAAAAAGTACAGGACAAACTGGAGTAACTTCTGCTTCAGTATTTACCTCTGCTTGCTATCTAATATAGAAGAATCTATCCCTAAAGTCTTCAATAGACTAATCCTTTCTTTGCTTGCTGGACTGGATTAGAGTGCAGTTTGTGTTCACAGGAATGAGTTTGGGGATAGCCTCCAAAACATCTTCTTTCAGAGTCCAGATGTTCTAAACCTTTTACTTTTTGTTCTATGCAACTTGGAGTATTTTATGTCACCCTCAAGATCTTTTTTATTTGTTAAAACAATTATTTTTCTTTTCCTGAGTGTATAGCCTATGAAACAATTGATATAGACCCAGGAGTACTGGATTATATCTTCCTAGTAATGTTTTGTTATTTTATTTTTTTTTTTAGACAGAATCTTGCTTTGTCACCTAGGCTGGATGGAGTACAGTGGCGTGATCATAGCTCACTGCAGCCTTGAGCTCCTGGGCTCAAGTAATCATCCCACCTCAACCTCCTGAGTAGCTGGGGCTACAGTAGTGTGCCACTATGCCTGGCTAGTTTTTTTTACTTTTTGTAGAGACAGCATCTTGGTTAGTTGCCCAGGCTGGTCTTAAATGCCTGGGCTCAAGGAATCCTCCTGTCTCCACTTCCCAAAATATTGGGGTTACAGTTATGAGCCACTGCATCCAGTCCATAGGAATATTTTAAATTTCTGTGTAAACATGTTTCTATTCTGTCTAACTAAATAAAAGACAAAGAGAGACTCTCTAAAAGCCAATGATACTTATTCAGGAATGGACACTGACATGAGAAACGTATGCCATAGTAAGCTGTGTATGTATTCAGGGAGGTAAAGAAAGGCAATGGCTTAGGAGGATTACATAATTGTTTTGAGATAATTATCCTTGGCTACAAGAATCAATAGCAAACATAACTCCAGTCAAAGGTTGGACAGGCAGTTGGTGGGCAAATGTTCTTGCAGAATTATTGTTTTGTGTAAGGGTAGGGTAGGCTTTGTGCAGTGCTGTGGGTTTTGCAGTTTTTTGTGACAGTTCTTTTTATTACCTATTTGTGCATGAGAACTCTTCCTTGACGACTTTCCCCAGCTCAGTTTATCAAGATTTTTAACACAAGCGACTCATGTTTATTTTGAGTTTAAATATTTTAAATTTCTCTGTGAATATCTTTCTATTCTGTCTGAGCTTCAGAAAGTCTTAAATAATCGCTCTTAGCTCATAACAAGACCAGGGCTTAAAATTTAAGTTCCTTAAAAGAAGACACTTGCCCTATTCTCAGAGAGCTTTAACTTTAAGAGCCAATTTAGCTTCGAGGATTTTCTTCTGACTAGAAAAAAAAAAGATAGTAGGGTTAGAAAAGATAGCAGTGCAAGGTAATGAATGCACAAGGGACGAGGGAAGACAAACAATGGCATAAAGGCCATTAGTTAGATTTAAGTGGTGTTTTGGGAGGATCTGAAAGAGATGGTTTGAAATTTTTCAACTTAGCCAAGCAATCCTTTAAGAAGATAATTTTAGAATCAGAGTTTCTTTTGGCGGCTTCCTCACGCAAGAAAATCTAGACACCTGAATACTTGGAATTTTCCTCTCTCTGCTTGTGTTAAACTTCCCCAAAGTTGCCTATATTATTGTCGTTTTTAGTTCATCTTGCCATAACAAAATAGCATAGACTAAGTGGCCTAAACAATAGATATTTATTTTCTCACAATTCTGAAGATTAGAATTTTAAGATCAAGGTGCCAGCATGGTCCATTGCTGCTAAAGGCTGTCTTCCTGGCTTGTAGATGGCCACCTTTTTGCTGTGTCTTCATATGGTGGGGGAAAGAAAGAACAATCTCTCTGGGGTCTTTTTTTTAAGGGCACTAATTCCACCATAAGAGCCCCAACTTTGTGACCTTGTCTACACCTGATTATCTTCCAAGAGCCCTGTGTCCAAATACCATCACATTGGGGGTTAACACTTCAACATAAGAATTTGGGGGTGGTGACACGATTCAGTCTATAGCAATTATCTGTGTTGCTACTATGCCATTTAGAATGATAGCACTTGAATTGACTTATAGTGTGAATGTATTGCATGTAAGAGACAAACGTGGGAGGGTCCACAAGTACCTCGTGTCTGTGCTCCTGAACATAATAGTTGGCTGTGTTTAATAGAAAACACAAGAAATAACTAATCTCTGATGGATGAATGATTATAGATGTGATATATCTACAATTAAACTGTTCTGAATAAAGGAAGACTAGCTAAGGAAAGTTCTCATAAGTTTTGGATAGTTGCCCTAAGGCAAAGTTTGTCCTGTATGACTGTTATTTAACAAGACAATTTACTTGTTAGTCCTGTGGGATGGCACACATTTCAGTCCTGTGGAACCTCTGTCTACTCTCGGCCCTATGAACTAATCTCTATATTACTCACAAAAGAAAAAGATGAACACAATCAAGAAGAACAGCAGTTTTTTTTTAGTAACAAGGCAGATTTCCACCAAAGGGGAGTCTTAAATTCTGATCAGACAATCAAAAGTTCTCACAACGAGGGGGGTCATCATTCTTAAGAGCTAAAATAAATTGGAAACTCAACAAAAAAATGAGACATCAGACTTAATACAGGATCTCCCTCACTGTCACAGTCAGAGAAACCCCTGAGGAGGCCTGATGTGGCCTCAGGAGAACTCCCTGCTTACAAGTTGAGGGCACTAATCCATGGCAATCAATGACTTTTACTGGTGAACTCTAGGATTGTCTACGGTCCCCAAGGACCACCAGAAAAACCTATTGATCAAGTAAAGCTCAATTTATTAAACTTACGGCAACAGGGAAAACTCTAGTTCCACAGAGTTTTCAGAGTGCCTCAAGAGGAGAAGTTGAGGAAAGAGATTTATAAATTTGAGTATCTGGGATCAAATGGTATTAAGTGTTTTGGAGAAAATTGAGTTAAATTGGAGAACTTGATTAGGTTGTGGGAATTTTGTCATCTAATAGTTAAGAATTGGTAGACACAGGAAAGCAAGAATTGAGGCAAGTTTTGACGATGTGCTGATAAGTGAGCCCTTGGTTCATGTAAACAAATAGTTCTCCTGATAAGTAATCTGTTAGCCCATATAAAATCAGTGTTTACCCAGAAATATTTAACATATCTTTCCAGAAGCAAACAGTGAATTATTTATTGGCAAGTAATTTTATCCTCCTGGGAGGGAATTACTGGGAGAGGATTATGCTGACAGAGAGAGTGCCGGTCCTTGGTCTAGTTAAGTGGTATTGCTGCACAAGGTCTCAGTTCTTACCCAAATACAGTAATAGCCCCTTATCCTCAGGGATACATTCTAAGACCCCCAGTGGATGTAAGTCCCCCAGTAGATGTCTGAAAATGCTGATAGTTCCAACCCTATATAAACCATATTTTTTCCTAGGCATCCATGTCTATGATAATGTTTAACTTAATTAGGCACAGTAAGAGATTAACAACAACAATAATAAAATAGAAAAGTTATAACAATATAAGATTCACTTTTATGGAGAGAAGATTAGTTCTTTCCATGGATCTTAGGAACCTCAGCATATGATTTTTTTTGTTTCCTTAGTAAGTCAAGAAAGTTCACCTTTTCACTTAAAGGGAGCACTTTACAGCTTCTCTTTGGTATATCTGAATTTCCAGCATCATTATTCTTCTGCATTGGGGCCATTATTAAGTAAAATAAGGGTTATTTGAACAGAAGCACTGAGATACTACCACAGTCAGTTAGGTAACTAAGATGTTTACTAAGTGACTAATGGGCAGGTAGTATAGACAAGGTAGATACACTGAACAAAGGGAAGACTCACATCCTGGGTGGGACAGAGCAGGACAGCAGGAAATTTCATCATGCTACTCAGAATGGGGTTATTTCTGGAATTTTACATTTAATATTTTTGGACTGTGGTTGAATGTGAGTAACTGAAAATGCGGAAAGCAAAGCCATGGATAAGGGGGACTACTGCATAAGAGTAGAACATGTGGGATTACTTGTTTGCTAAAGGATAAAATATATTTTATATTTTTCATTGGCTTCATTTCTATTATAAGCATATAAAATATGATTTTTCATACATTAATAAAGATTGAAGTCATTAAGCGAGAGCAATTCATCCAAAATTACTTATTCAAAACCAAATATACTAGATGCTGTTTTAGCCCCTGCCTTCATGAGGTTTAAATTTCAGAAAACAGAGGAGGTTATTGGTACTTTATAATGAATGCACGCATATACATATAGTTTATATAAACATAGAATACAGTAATACAGACACATATAAATATAATCTTTGGGAAGATTAAACTTCATTCTAATGACTTTTTAGAGTATGCATGCTGGTAATATAATTAAATATTATGTAGGGTGTAGAATTTGTGAATTTGTGTTTTGGGACAACTGTTGGTTGGCTGGCCTTGAGGGGGAATGGGGTAAAGAATACTATAAAGTTATTAACAGAGAAAATACTCAATTGCTTCCTAGAATGTGTGGAATTTCCTGCTTCCTTTTATCTTTTGAGATTCAGAAGTGGTATGGAATTATTTTGGCACACCGAGGTAAAATAAGTTACTTTAAAAGCCAGGATCAATCCATAACACGATATAGTACTATGGCCAGAGAGAGCATTCTTCATGCTTTAATAATGTCTTACTGCCATTCTTTGTTCTTTTTCAATATGTCAAAGAAAGAAGATAAGTAAGGGGGAAGCTAGAATGCACCCACACGTTTGAAGCATTGACCCTGTGCCACCTCCATAACAATTTTACAAAGTTGTCATTTTTCTCATAGCTATTTTTAGTTGGTTTCATAACTATTTATAGTTGGTTTTTGCCAACTTGTCAAAAATGTCATGTTTCAAATTTCTTCAGCGTATTTAGCATCCAGTATATGATAAGGATGCATTTTGGTTTCTGTTTGTTAATATTTACACTTCCCATGGTAAATGACAATACTGCAGTTACTGTGATGTCATATTCTATGATGGCAGGTTAGTATTATTAAGGACATTTGCTGATAATAATATATCTCATTTTATTTTCTCTTGTCACACATTTTGCCATCAATAATTCAAGACAGAAATAGTCTGTATATCAAAATTTGAATATTAGAAACTCATGTTTTATGTACATATAGTATTTCGACAATACCTTTATTAAAAGGGTGAAAAATTACGGGCAACTATAATTTCTCAACCAACTTTTAACTGAAAATAAGAACACATGTCCCTTAAAGTCTCATTTCTGATGTTTAACAAACATAATTTACAGTGAACGCATGACATTTATTATATTGGAATCTAATATAACAGTTCCAAAATGGTATTTACTGACACTTGTTATTCATCGTGAAGCTGATCACTGACTAGTAGTCATCACAGATAAACATCTTCCCTCAATTAAAAAAAAACAGTTACAGATTAGTCATTCATGTAACTTTATATAGAAAAAGCATTAGAAAGACTTGGGTTCCTTGCCTTGAAGGAGCAAGCCTGGAGAAGGAACTGTTAGGTCTTCAACTTCAGGATATACATTATAACTCATTGCATGCCACACCTCATGAAATTGGAACTACTCACATTGTTTTCATACCAAGAATCTGGAACTTCATGGATCTATAACACATTATTTCTCATGTCAAAGAATTTAAATATTAACCAGTCATATTAAATATCGCTTCAAAGAGTGATACTTTCTCTGGGAAGAGATCAATAGCTTTTTGGAAATGGTATTTCAACAAATACTTAAGTGGAGGTTTGTGATTGCAGTGATTATTTCAAGATCTTTGTGGACTGGGAGTCTTCCATTCAACCTGGGGTGTGAATTAAATTATGCTCATGCCTTATTTAGATGTACGTGACTGCTTGATATTGTAGTGATGTAAAATGTAGACATAACTTCCATACCATTCAGGAAAGTTAGCGGGGCTTGAGAAAAGGGAGTGTTGTAATGCAGGAAATGCCATTCTTAAGAATTTAAAAATCTGTTAGTAAAGTATGAAAAATTAATGTCCTTTCAAGTAACTAACCTTTTGAAGAGAGGCCTAGAAGAAGTTAAGAGAAGTTTTATATTGTTGATGATGTTATCATTGTTTTTGTTCTCTTCTTCCCTATTAGATAGCATGACATTCCTGTGGTAATATTGGGTTATTACAGTTACATTTGTCATATTTGATTGAATGCACAGAATGTTGCTATATATCTTGACTTGATTATGTATTTCTATATCATTTTATTTAACTCATTGAACTAGCAACACATATTACTCAGGATTAGCTTCTCTGGAAATTTAGCATTTGTTTATGAATTGAGAACATTGGTCCAACAGGATGAAATACCAACAACTTGTCTTGCTATTTATTGCTCTGAATATCTTGGCCCTATTAGCCTATGCAATTGTACTCCCTGCTTTTCACCAAACACTTCACATGAAGTGGGATAGAAAAGGGCAGAGGGAAGAAAATTTGTATTTTTGGCAACTTAGAATCTGTTCTATGATAGAAAGTGGTGAGCAAACTAAAAGCATTAGCTCCAGTATATTTGAGTTCTTTGTGTTATTTCAATCACCCATTAAAACTGTACACTTAGCACATTTCTTTTTGGTTTGTAATTAACATATTAAAAATCCAGAAGAATTTGAGCTTTGGGGAGATAATTGAATATTTTATTTAATTTCTTAAAAGTGAGGATGGACATTATGTAGATTATATGACTGTTCATCATTTTGCAAAGTGAAGCCCATTGAATTACTGTCAGTATTACACAACTAAAGACTAATCAACTATGTCTCGTAACCTGAGAGAGATTCTTGATATAGCTAACATTGTTTTTTCAACAAAGATTAATAATTAATTTGATACTTATTCTTTTTATTTTGGTCAGCCCAAAAGGTAGTGCAAGGAAGGAGCAGAGAAAAGGAAGATGTAGGGGAAAGAGGGAGGAGAAGAGATGGAATGTGACTTGTCATAAAATAATATTGGCTAGATTATGTTTCAAGTAAAAGGAAATCTCTTAAGGAAAAATATAAATACAGTTGACCCTTGAACAACATGGGTTGGAACTATGTGGGTCCACTTGTGTACAGATTTTCCTCAATACAACTTTTGCGGAATGTGCCTTCCTTTCCTGCTTCCCCTTCCACCTTATCCACCTTATCCATCCTTGAGACAGCAATACCGGCCTCTCCTCTTCCTCTTCCTTCTCAGCCTACTTAATGTGAAGATGACGAGGATGAAGACTTTTATGATGATCCACTTCCACTCAATACATTTTCTCTTCCTTATGATTTTCTTCTTAACATTTTCTTTTCTCTAGCTTACTATATTGTAAGAATACAGCAATAATGCATATGAAATACAAACTGTGTGTTGATCTGCTACTTATATTATCAGTAAAACTTCCTATCAACAGTAGGTTATTAGTAGTTAAATTTTTGGCTGGTCAAAAGTTATACATGGATTTTCAACTCTGCAGGGATTGAAAACTGCACGTTGTCCAAGAGTTAACAACCCTGTATTGCTGTGTAGTTTTGTTTTCAACAGAAAGACTTAGCTGTGAGAAAATGGTCCTTTTTTGTATTTATTTAATAACTACCTGTTAATTGATTATATTCAACTAAATAGTGACACCAGAGTGTAAATATGTAGTGGTGCAAAAAGTAGACACCAAATACGTGAGAGAAAATTTACTTGTGGTCTTCCTGGGGAAAAAAAAAAAAGAATGAAATTTACTAGAATGCATTCTCTTACTAGAACTTGAGTAGTTCAGCTGCTACCTTTCTGGCTGTTGAAATCAAATAGCAAAAATTCTCTGAAGGGGCAGGAATTTCTGTCTGCTTTGTGTACTATTGTATTTTCAGAGCCAAGAATATGGCTGTCTAAATATGGACTCAATAGTAGTTTTTGAATAAATTGTGTTGTTTATTTAATTAAGTCACATAGACTAAATATGTAAAGTGACTAGTTATATTAGACTATAAATTCCAGGCAGATTAAAAACTAAAACTTGCATTGTATCTTGGTTTATATTGTGTTGTGTGTAATAAGCATCAGTATTAAAAACAAGCAAACACCTAACAAAATACCCAAGTCAAAACAACTTTGGGCTGATAGGTGAAACAACGTTAATGGATCATAACAGCTGACACACATGAAAATTAGATATATTTTTGGTAATAAATAACATTTGTAGAAAAGATATATTCAACAGTTTTATTTGCATATAATTACAAAGAATATTTTCTTATGCATAATTTTTAAATAATTGCTTTTAAAATATTATAGAGTTAATTTTTCAGGGTTTTTTATTGTTTCCTTGGCAAATTCAGGTAGAATATGTTTCCTAACAGTGTGTAATTTTGACATACTTCTCTAGATAGAATGACAGCAAAATGCATTTTAGTTAAACCACCCTTCCCCTGAGGGCATTGTTTATTGCTTATGTGAAATACTTTGCAAATTCTTTTTATTCTAATATATCAAGCACCTTCTTTTTCTCCTTTAAAAAATTATTGTTTTCTGGACTCTAGGATATCAGATTATAGCAATTTTAAGTTAAGCATTATTTAAATAAAATAGGCCTTGTCATACATGTTTTCTTAGAATGGATAACAACCATGATTTTATCTTATGTTTGGATAATTCACAAAGCATTGTTTTGAGTGGAGAGCAGGTTCTTATTTATATGTACTTGCTATAGCAAAACTGCTGCAAGGATAGCTCCAGGGATCTTTCTAAGTTTGAAATGAGAAACATAACTGGGAGAGTCAGCATATTTATCAGACTGCTTTTTTTTTCTCTAGGTGAATTGAATATATATATATATATATATATATATATATATATATATATAGCACTTTTCTTCTATTGTTTTCTACTTCTGTAGTATTAAGCTGTAGACAACTGCTGAATGAGAATTTTAACTATCACTCCCTTGAAATCTTCGTTCATAAATTCCACATACACATAACATGGACAAATCATTGTGGCACTTATGTCAATAATTTTTTTTCTGTATCATTTAGGTACCAAATTTAATGAAAGTCTGCCTGGGGAATCAAAATCTATTTTTGTTGTTAATTATAAATGCTCTTTACAAGTGTATAGTTTGATACTGGGCCACAAGAGAGAAAGCGAGAAGGGCTGCAGCTCTTCTCTCCTTCTCTCTTTTGTCTTCTTTCTCATGTTTACAACAAGGTGAGCGGAGGGACGTGTTTCAACCCTGTTTGTGTTACAGCTCTTTTGGTCCCTCCATTAGGCAGGTCCCGAGTTCTTGTCCTGCATCCAGGAAGAATGAGGTATGCAGACAACTGGAGGGTGGACAAGGCAAAGAGGTGCTTTATTGAGCTACATTACACCTCTCAGGAGACCTGAAGTTGGTAGCTCATTTCTGCAGGCAGATTGTCCCAACATCTGTTCAGCTCTCAGCTAGGAGGGAAACCACAGTGGATAGCTCCTCTCCACAGGCAGGTCACCCTGACATCTGCTCAGCTCTCAGCTGGAAGGAGACCCAATGTGGATAGCTCCTCTCTGCAGGCAGGTCATCCCAACGTCTGCCTAGCTCCCAGCTAAGAGGAGACCCACAGTGGGTATCTCCTCTGCAGGCAGGCTGTCCCAACATTTCTTTGAGTCTGGCTGAGTCTGGGGTTTTTATGGACTTCACAGGGGAGGAAGTGAGTGCTGATGGGTTCATGGGTGGCCATGGGCAGGCCTGGAAAAAGCACAGTAAATTTTCACTCCAGTTCACAAAACTGGCAGCCCAGTTCCCAGGTTTCAAGCTATTCCCAGATTCAAGGTGGGGCTTCACTGGGGATCCACCCTTTTCTGCCCAGGAGCCTGTCTTCCTCCTGCTTCCATCAACCTGCCATTCATGACGCTCATGGTGCCCAGGCTGTTTCTGCCGAGGAGTGCCTGCAGGCTCGTGTGAGCTGCCCACAACCCTTCCCTTGGCCTCCCTCCCATGCTCATCAGCTCTGAAAGTCCAAAGAAGGCTGAGGCAGCAGGGAGCTAGCATATCAGCACCACCCTGAGTGTGTGCACACCTGGCTGGGTCATAACAGTTGTCAGGCTTGGCAACAACTTTGCTCCGAAATCAGAGCAGGCACCAGGTGTGGGGAGAGGCCAGACAGTGGGAAGGTCACTTCCAAGCCTCCAAGAGCAGAGAGGCTTCCCAGAGAGTGCATGGATGCCAGGGTCCACAGCCACAGCTGGGTGGCTGCATCTTTACCAAGGAGGGTGAGGCTCTGCCCCTCTAACTTGGAAGGGGTGGGGCTTTTGCCTGTTCCTAGCTCCTGCTGGCTCCATGGAGTGTACAGCCCTGGCTGTACTTCCCTCATCGCAGCTGGCATCTTCTCAGTGGCTGCCCCACACAGGCCACTGTTGCTATCAATCCCCCTTCTGAAGAGGTACATCTAACTGCTGTGAGGATAGGGATGATGCTGCTCTTCACTGCTTCGTGCTGACAAGGGACATTGTTTTGGGGAAAACAGCAGTCACATCTCTCTCAGAGGCCTATGTAAGGGTCCCTGGTAGAAACGGAGCCATTATCCAAGGCTCCAGTTGTATGACCACTTGGAGCATGATGGCCTCTAGGTGAGAAGAAATAATTTTACAAGGAGGTTAAATATGTGAAAGAAAGTATCTAGTGCTGGAGATAACACAAATAAGAAGTAAAATAGACTAATCATTCTGAAAACAATGTTGTCACTAGAGTCGTTTCACCTTTGTGAAAGAAATTAAATCTTGTATAGGTGCAGCTAAGCTTTAAAGGAGAAATAACTGTTTAGGGCTGTAGGGAGGTCAAGAATAAAGGGGCCTTGACAAAGATGCCTTATGGTGAGGAACAGAACAAAAGCGGTAACAGTAAGCGTAGGGTATCCATGGAGGGTTGATTGTTGGTACTTATCTTTTGTGATTGTTAAGTTGAGATCCCTGATTTCTTTACTCTGGTACTTCGGGTGCTCTCTTGGGTCAACAGAGGAAATTCCGTCAGTTCCCTGGTCTTTTACTAAAGTGTAATGAATCCAAGAATCAATTTCAGTGACCTTTACTGCTGTAGGAGTAGAAAGAAGTACACAGTAAGCCCTCACCCCCATTCTGGGACTAGAGAGAGAGAAAGGGAAGGAGGTGCCTTTACCAGTGCTAAGTCCCCTGGGTTGAATAGAAGTGGCCTTATTCATGCGATTGGGCCTCTGATAGTTGTTGCAGTTTGTGTTGCAAATGGGCCAAATAAGTTGTATGCTTAATTAAATCAGAGCTTTTTCAGTCTAGCAAGAAATCATTGGTGAGAAAAGTCTACACCATTTTGAAGGGACTTAAATCCAGCTTTGAAAGGGTGTTTCTAACACATAGTAGGGCTATGGAGAGAAGAGTAATCCATGGAATATGAGTATCTTGAGACAGTTTACTGAGGTGCCTTTTAATAATCTCATTTGTCTTTTCTACCTTTCCTGAGGATTGTGGTCTCCAAGCACAGTGAAGATAGTATTGTATGCTTATTGCCTTTTATACCCGCTGGGTGACAGCTGCCTTGAACAAGGGGCCATTATTGCTCTGAAGGTACTTGGGAAGTCCAATGTGAGGAATTATTTCATTAATTAGTGCTTTTATCACCTCAGAGCCTTTCTCTGTTCATCATGGAAATGCATCTACCCAGTTAGTGAAGGTATCTACCCATACTAGGAGGTACTGGATGCCCCTTGTCTTTGGCATATGGGTGAAATCCATCTGCCAGTCTTCCCCGAGGTAGACTCCCATCCTTTGGGTTCCAGGGGGACACGCCATTGACTGAGGGGATTATTTTTGAGGCAAGTCTCACAAGCATTAACAACCTGTTTGACCATTTTTAGCAGATTCTTACCTGAGAACAACCTTTGAGCACTTGACAGGTTTTATCTTTATCAAGGTGAAAGGCTTGGTGGAGGATTTTTAAGAACCCAGCTGGAACCCAGCTGGAAGCTGGTAGATGAAGCTTGCTCTCCTCTAATTGCAGCCATCCTGAGGACTGAAGTGTGTATCCCTGAGATACAGCCCATTCTATCTCTGCAGAGGAATACTGAGGTTTCATTTCTTTTATGGAGTACTCCCAGATCAGAGGGCTTCAAGTGGATCAGATATATGAGGCCCTCTTGCTGCCAATTTGGCTGCTTGGTCTGCCAACTTATTTCTTTCAGCTATTTTATGCATCCCCTTTTGCTGGCCTTTACAGTGTATTACTACCACTTTCCATGGAAAGAATACCATGAATAATAATCTGTTAATTTCCTGATGACACTTAATGAGAGACCCATTGGCTGTGAGGAAGTTTGTCTCTTTCCAGATAGTAGCATAGACATGGAGGACTAGGAAAGCATGCTTAGAATAAGTATAAATGTTAACTGCTTTCCCCTTGTTTAATTCAAGTGCCCTCATGAGGGCAATTAGCTCATCTAGTTGAGTACTCGTGCCTGAGGAGAGAGGCGTACTCTCAATAACATCATTCAGGGTGACTATTGCATACCCTGCCTTATGGACCCCTTGCTCTACAAAGGAACTTCTGTCTGTAATGAGAGTCCAGTCCAGGTTCTCTAAGGGGGTTTTTTTGAGGTCCTCTCCGGCTGCATAGGTTTGCACTACTATCTGTTCGCAGTCCTGTTCAAGCTCCCCAGCTTCGTCTGGGAGGAAGGTGGCTGAGTTTAGGGAGAGACAGTTTCTTAACTATACTACAGATCCCTCTAATAGCAGAGCTTGATATTTGAGTAGGTGGTTGTCTGTTAGCCAGAGGCTCCCCTTAGAAGACAGCAGTCCTCCCACATTATATGGCACATAAACTGTTAAGTTATTCCCCATGGTTAACTTAATACCTCTGGTTGCAAAGCTACCACTGCAACTGCCAAGAGGCAGGCTGGCCATTCTTTAGCTGTCAAAACAAGCTCCTTCCTTAGGTACCCTATGGGGTGCTGGGCTGGACCTCGGGCCTGGGTTGGAACTCCCATGGCCATTGCCTTCCTTTCTGAGACATAAAGATTGAACATCTCCTCATTGGGAAGTCTAAGGGCTGGTACCTCAAGCAAGATTTGTTTTAATAGGTCAAAGGCCCTTTTAGCCTCTGGTTCCCAAGTTAGGGAGTGGATCTGGTATTTCACCGTGCCATGTATCTATACCTGCAGAATACTGTAGTGCCCAAGAATGCCTCAGTTGCTTGAGGGTTTTGAGGCAAGGAAAGAAGGACATGGGCTTGATTCTTTCTTCACCTAGTGCCTGGGTCCCCTCTGACAAGACTAGACCTAGGTACTTCACCAAAGTCTGGCAGAGCTGAGCCTTAGATTTTGAGACCTTATATCCTGTTATCCAGAAAATTAAGAGCTTTACTGCCTCCCTAAGAGATTTCATCAGAGTTGGGACATAAAGGATAATGTATACATATTGTAAAACTTTAACCTGAGAATAAAGGAACTCAGAGAGATCTTTTGACACACCTTCTCAAACAGGTGGGGGCTGTCTCAGAATTCCTGAGGTAACACTGTCCAGGTTAACTGGGTGGCCTAGTTGGAGGAATTCTTGAATGCAAACAAATACTGGGAGTTGAGGTGTAGGAAGGAAAAAGGAATCTTTTAGATCCAGGACTGTGAACCATTTAGTTCCCTCAGGTATTTCAGTTAGCAGGTTATAGGAATTGGGAACCACCAGATGAATAGGGACCACAGCCTCATTAATGAGGCAGAGGTCCTAGACCAGTCTCCATTCCCTGTTGGGTTTTTGTATCCCCAATATCAGGGTATTACAAGGGTTGTTACAGGGTTTGAGAAGGCCCTGAATCTTCAGGTTATCAATGATGGCTTCTAGTCATTTCCTAACTTCTGGTTTCAGAGGATATTGTCTCTGGTTAGAGAAGGAGGTGAGATCCTTAAAGTGGACCGAGACCAGTGTGGCAATTGTGGCTCAGCCAATTTTCCCTGGAGTAGTCCAAACTTCTGTGTTAATATTGGTCTCTACTATGGGGAGACAAAGAGTCTGTCCTGGAGCCATAAAGATAGTGGTTCCCATGTGAGCCAAAATATCCCTGCCCAAGAGAGGAGTTGGGCTTTCAGGCATGATTAGAAAGCATGAGTAAACAAGAGGTCCTGCCAACTACAACTAAGGGGTTGAGAAAACTATTGGGTTAAAGGCTTTCCTGAGACACCCCTTATGGTAGCACTAAGAGAGAAGGGAGTGCCTGGACTGGAGTGGAGAACTTAAAGGACTACTTCAGTGTCCAGGAGGAGGTCCCCTTTCCTCCCTTCAACTTTCAGAATCACCCTGGGTTCCTGGAATGTAATGGTGGTCTGGACCACCAGAGCCAGGTAGAGGAGCCCTGGGATGTGTGAGTCCTGCTGGACCACTTGAGAGACTAGCTCTGGACCTGGTGACCTGTGTCTCTGGGGATAGTCTTCCCTCCAGTGGTCTCCATTACCTACTGGACAGGGTCAAGGTGGCTTTCTCATGTTGCCTGGGCAGTCTTTCCTGAAGTGCCTTGGCTTGCCACATTTGTAGCAGTTAACAGGTACATCTAGGGGACTCTGGGGTTTGTGAGCCTGCAAAGAGTCCATTAGAGCCTCTGCCTTTTCTTTTGTTTCATGTTTTTTTTTTTTTTTTTGGATTTCCTCCTGATCCCTATTATGAAAGACCATGGTGGCCAATTTCAGGAGGTTCTCTAAAGTACTATCTGGTCCTACAGCCTATTTTTGCAGCTTCCTTCTGATGTCTGGGGCTGCCCGAGTAATAAACTTATCCTTCAGGTTCAGTTATCCTTCAACTGAATCAAGAGATAGAGAGGTATGCTTTACCAAGACCCCTTTTAGCATTTCCAGGAAGGCAGTGGGTTTCTCATTGAATCCCTTTTCTATCATGTTTAGCTTGGAGTAATTAAGAGGCTTAGTTCTAGTCCTTCATAAGCCCTCCAGTATGCACACCTGAGAGTGTTTCCTCTTCCATTCTCCCATTTCATCATTGATGTCCCATTTATTATCCTCCAATGATACTACTATTCTTCTAATTGGATTGGCACTCTATGACATACAAAGCTTATCCCCCAAATTATCTGCTGCTTTCTGGGTGGCCTGCTTTTCCACAGTAGTCAGGATCTGATTCAAAAGTAACATAATGTTCTTCCAGGAGAGTTAAAATACTTGGGTTAAATTCTGGAAAGCCTCTATATGCAAATGTCAGGGTCATTTGAAAACTTGCCAAGATCTCTCTTAATCTGCCTTAAGTTCCGTAGAGAAAAGCAAATTTGGACCTTAATGAGACTATATTTGCCAGCCTGTTGTAGGGGCAAAAGTGCCTAAAACTAAGATTTCTAGGATGGAACAAACTTAGAGAGAACCTGGATAAGGGAAGTGGAAGGAGATGATTCCCCCAATGGAGGTACCTCTGGGGTTTGCTTCTCTATTTCCCTGGGATTGCCCCTTGCAGCCTTTTCTGAAATTGCCACCAGGAGGGCAGAATCAATCCTACAATGTTGGCAAAGGTCCGAACTTCCCTGCAAGGCAAAGAAAGTCTGCACATGTGGGACTTCAAACCATTTGCTCTCATGTCTACAGAAAAGTTCCAGCTTCAGAATGGTATTAAAATTAATACTTCATTTCTGAGGCCATGCTTCTGCCTGCAGAACATAATTCAGCCACACCTTAGTGCAAAGGAATATAAGGCAGATTTTCTCCAGAGTCTGAGTATTAAGGAGTCCCAGGAATTCAAGATACACTCTAGAGGAGTATAGGTTAAAGATGGTTGTTTACCCTTCTGGAAGAGAGAACAGAGGAGGAAAAGGTGATTTTTCTTCTCTCCAGAGTCTGAGGGTCAAAGGGGTCTCAGTGATTCAGGATGCAGTCAAGAGGAGTGCAGGTTGAAGATGGTTGGTTACCCATCAGGAAAGAGGGGTAAAAAGCATCCCTTTGTTCCTTTCTCTTTCCAGCAAATACCCAGGGTAGGTGAGGCTAAGAAAAAAGGGCATCCCTTTCTTTCTTCTGACCTTATATCCCTAAATCCCCGTGATCTTTGCAGGTGTTGACCATGTGTGCAAGTGTGACTTCACCCATGAGGTGGGGAGGCATACCCAACAGGAGTATTCACACCCACCTATATGGTGCCTAATCCTCCTGCTTTTGGTAACCTTTAAATTCCCTAGACCTTATCTATGCCATGGGTAGGAGGATGACCTCCATCCACGATGCAGGAGGGCCTAGTTGGCAGGAGTTAGTCATGCTCACCTGCGCCGTGCCCCCTAAACTTCACTGTCATGTGCCTTTGGATCTCTCACATCTAGTTTTTCTTTCTAGGGCCTCAAAACTAAACTTGGGACAAAAAAATGCCTCAGGAGGGTGTATGGACCCATTAAATTAGTGGCCTCACCAAATTGCAGCCAGAAACTGGTGGGGCAGCCCATCTCTTGCTTCCTTATTATGAATAGGTGAAGCTGTGGGACCAGGTCCTCTGCAAACAAGGGAAAGAAAGGGAGTCCTGGGAATTGGGGACCTGGCCTAACAAGATGCTTCCCAAAAGAATGATTTAAGTTCAGGGGTGGGGAAGGTGCCTGGGGAAAAAACCTTTTGCCCTGTGCAAATGGGTTCCTTCAACAGGGGAAAGAAAACTCTCAATTGTTACATCCTTCTTGCTTCTAAGAATAGATAGACATCACATTGTTCTGATTTACACTTCTGATGACCAAGCCAAGTGCTTATTCTACCCGGTATTATTATCTCTGTACTTTGCAACAACACCCTTATCATTGTATATAAAGAAGAGATAGGAGCCACGACAACCTTGAAAGAAAGAAAGAATGATAGGAAAGACTGGAGGTCCTAGTGCTGACACCCTAACAGGCAGTCGGGGACTGGAGTTAGTTCAGAGGCCTTTGGATAACACTGAGATATAGCCTCAGCCAGATACCCTCATTTGCCCCAGGACCTCCTTCTGATCCCACACGATGGCTAGACCTCCATGAAGGGAAACTGGATTGGAACAAAGCCAACATTCCCAACACCCAAGGGTGATGGGGGATTGGCAGTGTCCTCCCCAGCAAGCCTGTCCTCATGTCTTAAGTCCAGCAGCTATGCTAGTCACTTTCAACTGGCCAAGAGAGGCATGGCATTTTTCTTTCAGTTTGGTTGTAGTGGAGTTTAGGGATTCCCCAAAAAAGGACAGAAAGCAGCAAGTTTGCTTTTACTCACCCTTTTGCAGATCCTGGATGAGCCCCCCAAAATGTCATAGGATCCTCAGGGTGTTGCTTTGCCAGCTAGAAATCTCTGTGGCTGGTGGTGCCTTTGCCCAAGTTTTGCTCAGGACCACTGGACTTGATTTGCTCACTTGGCCTGGCAGTCTGCACTCGGCTTGTACTACTGGCTCAGATCCGATGCCTGCCAATGGTGAGCCAGGCATGAAGCGGTGAGGAGTGTGTAAGCGAGCGATCCCAGGGTCCGGCCACTGTGTACAACAAGGCACACTGGCTGGGGCTGGCGGGCTGCTCCAGGTGCTGGCACAGGTGCTGGTTCCCTGCGAGGCTATGGCTGGACCAGGTGTACCGCAAGTGGCTTCCACTGCAGGCACCAGGGAACACTTTGTCACCCAGCAGCTTGGAGATCCCAGGAACTGCAGAACGCCAAATAGCGTGTAAGAGCCCTGGCTCAGGGAACTCTTAGAGCTGAACTCCCCAAAGAGCCTCAACTTTTCTCTCCTCTTTTCTCTCTTTTTTCTTCTCCTCTTCTCGTGCTCACAACATGCTGACTAGGGGGGCATGTTTCAGCCCTGTTTGTGCCATTCAGCAGGTCCCAAGTACTTGTCTTGTTTCCAGGAAGAATGAGGTGCGTGGGCAACTGCAAGGTGAGCAAGGCAAAGAGGTGTTTTATTGAGCTACAGTACAGCTCTCCAGAGACCTGAAGTGGGTAGCTTCTTTCAACAGGCAGATCATCCAGATGTCTGTTCAGCTCTCAGCTGAGAGAAGACCCACAGTGGGTAGCTCCTCCCCACAGGCAGGTTGTCCTAATGTCTCTACAAATCTGGCTGAGTCCAGGCTTTTATGGGCTTCAAAGAGGAGGAAGTGTGTGCTGATTGTTCCATGGGCGGCCATGGCTGGGCCCGGAAAAGGCACCATAATTTTCACTCTGCTCCAAGCAACTGGCAGCCTGGCACCCAGGCTTCAGGCCATCCCTAGCATAAAGGTGAGTCTTCACCAGGGACCCACCTCTTTCCACCCAGGAGCCTATCTGCTTTCTGCCATCATCAACCTGCCATCCACAGCCTGCAGACCCATGCCAACCTTCTCTTTGCCGTCCCTCCCATGCTTATCAGCACCCAATGTCCAGAGGGGCTCGAGACAGCAGGGTTCTGGTGTGTCGGTGCCACCCTGAGCATGTGCATACCCAGCAGGGTCATGGCCGTGCCCAGGCTTTGTCACAACTGTGCTCCAAAATTGGAGAGGGCACCAGAATCAGGGAAATTTCAGGCAGCAGGAGCCTGCTGAGATCAGGGGAATTCCTGGGCCCTCAAGAGCTCAGGAATTCCTGAGTCCATAGCCGCAGCTGGTTTGCTGCGGCTCTTAGGAGAGCCCCTCCAACTTGTAAGGGGGCAGGGCCTCCACCTGTTCCTCCTTCCACCTGCTCCATGGAGTGCACCGCCCCAGCTACACCTCCCACACTGCAACCAGCATCTTCACAGCCACCACTCCACATGGACCACTGCTGCCATCTTTAGAAAATAGAGTCTGCCACAATAAGTTTTTTTTTTTTGAGATGGAATCTTGCTCTGTTGCCCAGGCTGGGGTACAGTGGCACCATCTTGGCTCACTGCAACCTCCACTTCCTGCATTGAAGCAATTCTCCTGCCTCAGTTCCTGAGCAATTGGGACTACAGACATGTGCCACCATGCCTGGCTAATTTTTTTTTATTTTGAGTAGAGACAGGGTTTCACCCTTTTGGCCAGGCTGGTCTCGAACTCCTGACCTCAGGTGATCCACCCACCTCAGCTCCCCATATTGCTGGGATTAAAGGCGTGAGCCACCATGCCTGGCCTTGCCACAATAAGTTTTAATGGTCCTGCCAATATTAAAATGAAATCTTTAATGAACAACAAGTCATAAACCTTCTATGTGAACTACTTAGAAGGAGCAGACTACAGATGATGATGCCATTCTAATATTATGTGTGGAATTTTTGTCAGTGATGAAGGACTTCACAGACCTCCAGTGGTGCTAAAGTTCTTACACATCGCTTTTGATGGAAGCTTGAAAACCACTTAACCTAGGTAGCATCTTCTGCTCTAACTGGTGGCTGTGCAATGGAGAAAATGCCGATAAAGTTTTTAATAGCTAATTTATCAGCAATAATAATTGTTTGTGACTCTGTTCTTTCTAATGCTATCTATTGTATGCATATGTATGTGTTTATAGTATATATTATATATGTTATATATGCATACATGTGTATGTATGTGTATCTACATATATAGATAGTGTATGTGTGTACGTATATATAGATACAGATATAAACACAGGCAAATTCTTACAACTATACACGATCTAGTTTTAAATACACTAAAAGCTTATGTCACATTGGGAAGGAGGGAACCATAATGACAAGGTAACGTATTTTCCAGCATTAGAATTATTGAAGTATGAACTGGACATCTGTCAGAGATATTTGGAATGGGAGAGGATAGGAGTAGTAGCAATGTAGATTCAGCCATTAGGTGGGAGTTTGGAGTAGAACTCTGAGATCTTTTTATTTAATTATTAATATTAGTAAAAGTAATTCTGTCCCCCTAAAATGCTCTTTAAATTAGTTTGCTAGGGCTGGCATAACAAAAGGTATTATTGTCTTGGTGGCTTAAACAACAAACATTTATTATCTCACAGTTCTGGAGGCTAGAAGTTCAAATTCAGTGTGTCCGTAGAGTTGATTTCTCCTGATGGCTTCTTTCTGTGTCTCTAGACATCTTCTCCTGATGGTTTCTAGATGGCTTCTTTCTGTGTCTTCGATGTTTTTTCCACTATGTCTGCCTGTGTTGTAATCTCTTCTTCTTAAAAGGGCACCAGTCGTACTGGATTAGCGCCCACCATAATGACAATATTTTAACTTAATTTTCTATTTATTAAAATAAATGACACTTTATTCATAATTTGTTTTACTTTACAATTAGTAGGGACTTTATAAATGCTTATTTCATGTTTGACATTCAAGAACACCATTGGCTATATCAGCTTATATTTGAAGTGAAGGACACTTTTTTGCCAGCCCCAAACATACTAAAGTGTTTTGAGTTTTAATAATAAGATAGGTAAGCTTACAAATGGAGTTCATAACTTTTGCTATTTTTCTCTATCACTTGTGAGCTTTCAATTTTATTGTAGAAAAAAATTTCACAACGAAATATTTGTGAAAAGAACTATTCAAAAACTAAGGCGGCCGGGCGCGGTGGCTCACGCCTGTAATCCCAGCACTTTGGGAGGCCAAGACGGGCGGATCACGAGGTCAGGAGATCGAGACCATCCTGGCTAACACGGTGAAACCCCGTCTCTACTAAAAATACAAAAATTAGCCGGGCATGGTGGCGCGTGCCTGTAGTCCCAGCTACACAGGAGGCTGAGGCAGGAGAATGGCGTGAACCCGGGAGGCGGAGCTTGCAGTGAGTCGAGATCGCGCCACTGCACTCCAGCCTGGGCGACAGAGCGAAACTCCGTCTCAAAAAAAAAAAAAAAAAAAAACTAAGGCAAGAAAAAAACTGAGATTAAATGGGTCAAAAATATGCAATTTCAATTATAATAGACCTGATATATTCCAACCATCTGTCATAAAATGAAAGGTTACTATTGGCACACAGCGACAAAGTTACCAGAATTTGGGTGATATGAGGTAAGCCTGACCAAATTTAATATTTTCATTTTCACTTTATAGTTTTGTCTGAGTTTCCAGGGTATAGTTATTTTCATCTGTTTTTCATATTTTAAGAAGTTTTTACTTCAGGATATTGACAGTTTTACGCAATTCCTTCACATCTTAACAAATATCTCAAGATGATATTAGCCTTAAATAATATGGTTGTATAGAATACTTTTAAATTTAAATTGTAAACTAAATTGTCTCCTAATAATTTGAAGGTCTTTGCTTTCTTCTTTTGATGGCTCTTCTCTCACACCCATCTGTACTGTGGCTGTATTTTCTGATTTTGTAATGTGCTGAGAATTGTATTTCATCTTAATAAAGAAAATAAGTAGATATAGACTGTGACTATATATTTGAAATGAAGTGTTAACATTTCTGAATACTCTGCACTCGACTTTTTCCCCTCTAGTCCACTACACTGCTACTTCAAATAATAAGAAGCCCTCACCATTTCTCACTTTGTTTATTTCAATAGTGCTGTCAGTGGTTTCACTCAGTCTTGTTCCTGTACTTAGGTGTTGCCCAGGCTATTTTTTTTTTTTTTTTTTTTTTTTTTTTTTGAGACGGAGTCTCGCTCTGTCGCCCAGGCTGGAGTGCAGTGGCGGGATCTCGGCTCACTGCAAGCTCCGCCTCCCGGGTTCACGCCATTCTCCTGCCTCAGCCTCCCAAGTAGCTGGGACTACAGGCGCCCGCCACTACGCCCGGCTAATTTTTTGTATTTTTAGTAGAGACGGGGTTTCACCGTTTTTTAGCCGGGATGGTCTCGATCTCCTGACCTCGTGATCCGCCCGCCTCGGCCTCCCAAAGTGCTGGGATTACAGGCGTGAGCCACCGCGCCCGGCCCGGCTATTTTTAAAAATATATAAAGCTGATCATGTTGCTCTTTGTTTAATGATCGGTATCAATTCCCATTAACTTTAGGATCAAATACTAATGTTTTTAAGTTTTTAAGTTTAGAAGGTGTTTAAGGTATTGCCGATGACCTATGCCTCCAGCTCAGTCTTCCTTAACTTCTTGTGTCTTGTGTCTTGTCTAGGCCCCAATCACATTGAATTATTTCCATTTCTCAATATATATATAACATTTTCTCATATCTCAATGCCTTTTAGCACACTCTTTCCTGTGCTTGGCTAGCATCTTTTCTTTTCCCCCATGCCTCACTTCACTTTTCTTCAGTCTCTCATTCATTTACCAAAGATTATTGAGTGCCTCTTTTGTGCCTGGCACTCTACTAAGTAACAGGAGTGAACAAGACTGCAACAGTCCTACTGTTTTGATCCTGCCAGTTACTTTACTTGGCTGGCTTCTATGATTACACTTCCTAAATGGTACAATCTCCTACTACACTTTAAGTTACTGCAAGGCAAATGTTTTATGTTTTATCTTCACAAGTTCAGCACCTACTACAGTGTCTGGATATGGAATAGTTCAATTAATGCTACTAAGGAATGAATATATATGCCTGCTTTTGCTCAATGTGTGCTATTTACAGTCATGATGCAATGGCTTGTATCTTATCTGCTTCTTTTTTTTCATTTCTTCTTTCAATTCTGGATTAATATAATTTCATCAAAAAACTTTGTATAGGCACTAAAAAGAAATATTTACTGGTTCAGTAAATATTTACTGGTTCATTTTGGTATTTACAATACCAAAATGTCATTGTTACTTATGTATTTATCAACCAGGAAAACAGACCAGTAAAAGATATAAAGAAGTTTCTTTTGTGTATTTGTTTTTGTAACAAGTAATCAACGTATGTGATTTTGGAGACCGGTTAGGTAAGTCCAAAATATGTAGAGCTGACTATCAGGCAGAGCAGGAGGGAACTTTTGACAAGGATGGGATTTCTATCTTCAGGAAGCCTCAACTCTGCTTTAAGCCTTTTTTAACTGATTGACTCAGACCCATCCAGGTTACCTAGGATAATATCACTTAAAGCTAACAGACTATGGACTTTACATGTAGAGAAGATATTTTCACAGCAACACTTGGGTTAGTATTTGAATAATTGGGGCTTGTAGCCTAGCCAAGTTGACATATAAAACAAACAAACAAACAAATCAGCCAGGTATGGTGGTGTATACCTGTAGTCCCAGCTACTCAGGAGGCTGAGGCAGGCGGATCGCTTGAGCCCAGGACTTTGAGGGGTAGTGCATCATGATTGCACCTGTGAATAGCCACCAGACTCCAGCTTGGGCGAATAATAAAACACCATCTCATAAAGTAAAACAGTTATAAATAATATTTGCTAACATTTTAAAAGAATATCATTTTCCTGATATTATACTAAGCACTTTACATGCATTAATTCATTTAATCATCACCACAACCCAAGTGCAAGATTATTATTCATAGTTTACTAATGGGAAAACAAATGCAAAACACTCATTCTCCAGTGGAACAATAGAACAATAAGTCAATAGACTTATAACCATTGTTATAAGTCATTTTGAAGGACAGAGCTTAGAACCCAAAGTATTTGTATGGTGAGTCAAAGTTGTGATATGTTCTGATATGGATTATTTTTTAAGAAGTTTTTACTTTAGGATATTGATAATTTTGATGCAATTCTTTCACATCTTAAAAAAATCTCAAGATGATATTAGCTTTAAATCATAAAGTTGTACAAAATACAGTCTTAAATAATGTGGTTGTAAAACCAGGCTGCTTGACGTTTTCACAGTTTTTCTTAGAATAAAGAATCCAGATGTAGGGATATTATTGAGTATAAACAATTGAAAAAGATAAACTATTACATTTACACTATTACTTCAGAGCAGTTGATATATTTAAATGAGAATCAGCATGAAGTATGTTCAATAGCATGAGGACTAGCGAGAAATAGATCAAATTTGGGTTTTTCTATACTCAAGCTGTGTGACCTTGAAAAGTGCAATGACAGTAATAACAATATGCCATAGAACTTTTCTGAAGGGTAAAAACAATACAGTAAGAGTAAATGCACAGTTAGTGCAGAATTGTGTCTATCTTGTCATTTAAATGTTTGTTAAATAATGTATTCTTTTGCTAGGTTAAGCTTTATCAGCGGGTTGTTATGTGGTAGATACATGGATCCTGGATATTTGGAACAGAAAATGGAAAAGTGAACACTCTACCAAGTCAAAAGCAAATTCTTTTTTTTTAAGGCTGCAATTTGCCAATTAATAGTAAACTATTTTGGTGAATTGGAGTGGTGATCTCAAATGTAATAAATATGTATAAATAAAATATAATACAAGAATATCAAAAACACATTACTTATAACTACTCTAGGCACCTTCAGTCACTTAAATGTTTTAATTTTGCATGAAAGACAAAAATGCCTCTCTGATGAATCCTTAGTAGTTTTGCGAAATTTATTAAAATATAAAATATACTGCTTTTTTATGCTTTAACAATGATTTTATAAATTAAAAAAACGATAGAAATTCAGTTATTAAATAAAATTATTTTGATGTAGTCAAACTGGAGAAAAGGAGTAATTTAAAATTTTAGTGTTTAAATTTGGCATCTCAGTTTAATATGAATCTGGAAGAAACATTTTAGGGAATACAGCAATAATAGAAAGTCATTTCCTGTAATAGCATAGTTTTTGTGGTGTAATAAAAGGTTACATGACAAGGTCAGACTACTTCATTTCAAAGCTAAAAATGATTTCTACTCTGCCCTGAGGTTTGCAGATTTCTGACTGAGTGGTCCCTGGAAGGCTTGTTCATTTTGTTGTTTATATATTTAATAACTATCTAGAAATAAATAAGACTAGTGCTTAGAACCAAGTTTTAGGATAAGCAATTTTTGTGACTATCAAGTATTTTTTCTTATTTTAAAGTCCCTATTTGTATAATTAAACATCGGTTTCTCAGGCCTGAATCATCCTTTTCTTATCAACTGATGGTTGCTGATAAATGACTTCTACTAGGTACAGTTCCAGTAGTTGTTTAGTGACCCTGATCTTGGCCAAAAGGCCTCATCTGTCTAGAAACACATGGGGACTTTTATTTTCCAGGTATCCTTGCTCTGACACTCTCTAGTGACAGAAGCCTAAGACGGAATATTCTGCACTTCATGCAATACATTAACAACAAAAATTCTTTTCACAGAAGAGCAAATTTAGCATATAGGTTTTTATGTTGTTGCCTCAAACTGTTATTTATATCTATGGTTGGAAATAATCGGGAAAAATGTATTATTGATTTTTCAACCCATGGATGCTGCAAATCTATTTGAATATGGAATGGCTTGACACTGTCTCATGTTTTTTATATTACATTATAATTGTCTGCTGTTCCATAATTAACCTTTATAAAATTAATATGTGAATAAAATTTTTTATGCATTATTAACTTTTTAAGTGCAATTAAATAATGGAGTAATTAAAATTTGAGTGTTTCTGTTTGTTGTACTCAGTTTTTATATTTGATTCAAATGTCACATCAGCAGTATCCATTTTGTTTTCGAGACGGGGTCTCGCCCTGTGGCCAGGCTAGAGTGCAGTGGTGTGATCTCGGCTCACTGCAACCTCCAACTCCCTGGATCAAGTGATTCTCCTGCCTCAGCCTCCCAAGTAGCCGGGATTACAGGCACGTGCCACCACATCCAGCTAATTTTTGTATTTTTATTAGAGACAGGCTTTCACCATGTTGACCAGAATGGTCTCAATCTCTTGACCTTGTGATCTGCCCACCTCTGCCTCCCAAAGTGCTGGGATTACAAGTGTGAACCACCGCCTCTGCCTCCCAAAGTGCTGGGATTACAGGTGTGAACCACCGCGCCCAGGCAGCACTTTCCGTGTTCTTTTTTTTTTTTTTTTTTGAGGTGCAGTCTTGCTCTGTCACCCATACTGCAGTGCAGTGGCCTGATCTCGGCTCACTGCAACCTCAGCCTCCCCGGTTCAAGCAATTCTCCTGCCTCAGCCTCCTGAGTAGCTGGGACTACAGACGTGTGCCACCATGCCTGGCTAATTTTTTGTATTTTTAGTAGAGACAGGGTTTCACTATCAGTTTTTATTTCTTTTCTCTACTTTCATTTTCATTGGCAAATTTTTTCCTTACCTGGTCTATTTTTTATAAAATGTCACATAAATTAATCACGGGGAGACAAGGAAGCAATGCAAGTACACATTATTATTTATGTGCTTGAACTGAATAAGTAATGCCTAGTTATCAATAATTGACAGAATTTGAAAGAAGTGATGTGTGTGTGTCACTGATCATGATGTACCTCTTTTGTTTACATAGTGGTTTGTGTACTGAAGTGCTAGTAAAGAAGTTTGTACTTTATACAATTACTCACAGTTGATATACCATGTGAACTTCAGTTTGAACCCTGTTTTTGGGGAGTGACTGATGTTATTTAACTAAACCATGTAAGTGAAGTTTTTGCATATTAGAACCATGTAAAAAGAGGACTGAATATACAGTATATATATTCAATTTCATTCATTATCAGGAATATATAAATTGAAGTAACAATGCCATACTGCACTACACACTTAAAAGAATGGCTTTGGTAGGCAGAATTCTAAGATGACACGTGACTCCAGCCCTTAATTTTTATTTACTGGGAAGATGATAGGGCATCACTGCTGTGATTATCAGTTGGCAAAAAGGATTTTGCAGATGTAATTAAGGCTACTAATAAGTTGACTTTCAGTTAATCAAAAAGGAAATAATGTGGGTAGGCCTCACATGAGCCCTTTAAAAGCAGAAAGAATGTTTTTTCCCTAGTTGGTAGCAAAAGAAGAAATCAGAGATATTTAAAGCATGAGAGGGCTTCAATGTGAAGGATGTTCCCCACTGCTGAGATGGATGGGCCATAGGCCATGAACCTGTGAGTAGCCCTAGAAGCTCAGAGTGGTCCCTCGTCACAACAGCTAGCAAGGTAAAAGGAGCCTTGAATCCTGCTACTGGAAGGAGGTAAATTCTGTGAACCTGAGTAAGTCTGGAAGTGGATTATTCACACAGAGACATTAGATAAGAGCCCAGATTCATTGATACCTTGATTTTGGCCTTGTAAGACCCTAATCAGGGAACCCAGTTGAGCCCATCTGGACTTCTGATCTCTAGAACTGTGAAATGATTAATGGATATTGTTTTAAGCTCCTAAGTTTGTGTTAATTTTTTATGCTACAATAGAAAATTAATATAATATTAAAACTTTAATAAGAAAAAAGTGACAAAACCAAGTGTTGGTGTGGATGTGAAACAACTGAAACTCTTTCTCTATTGTTGGTAATGCAAATTAGTACAGACAGTTCTGAGTTGTATTTGGCAGTGACTACTAAAGCAGAACATAAAACATGACTATATCCTAGAAACGATTACAGCTTATTGATATTTTTCCAATATAAATAAGTTTGTGCACTGTTTAAAAAAGTACAAGAATGTTCATAGACAATTGAAATAGCCCCAAACTGAAAATAGCTTGTGTTCATTATTAACGAAATGTATAAATAAATCGTGGTATATTCACCAGTGGAAAGCCACACAGCTATGAGAATGAACCAGCTACTACTAGACATAGATGAATCTTATAATCACACATTGAATGAAATAAAAAACACATAAAAGAATATGCGTGGGCCGGGTGCAGTGGCTCATGTCTGTAATCCCAGCACTTTGGAGGTGGAGGTGGGCGTATCATGAGGTCAAGAGATCAAGACCATCCTGGCCAACATGGTGAAACCCCGTCTCTACTAAAAAATACAAAAATTAGCTTGGCATGATAGTGCGCCTGTAGTCCTAGCTACTTGGGAGGCTGAGGTAGGAGAATCACTTGAACCCAGGAGGCAGAGGTTGTGTTGAGCTGAGATCATGCCACTGCTCTCCAGCCTGGGTGACAGAGCGAGACTCCTTCTAAAAAAATAAAAAATAAAAAAGGGCCTGGCTGGTGGCTCATGCCTGTAATCCCAGCACTTTGGGAGGCTGAGGCGGGCCGATCTCGAGGTCAGGAGTTCAAGACCAGCCTGGCCAACCTGGCAAAATCCCATCTCTACTAAAAATACAAAAATTAGCTGACACGGTGGCGGGCGCCTGTAATCCTAGCTACTCGGGAGGCTGAGGAAGGAGAATCCCTTGGACTTGGGAGGCGGAGGTTGCAGTGAGCCAAGATCGTGCCACTGCACTCCACTCTGGGAGACAGAGCGAGACTCCGTCTCAAAAAACAAAACAAAACCAAAAAAAAAAAGAAAAGAATATGCTCACAAAAGAATATGATCCCATTTGTGTAAAGGTCAGAAATAGGCAAAACTTATTTATGGTTCTATAAATGATGATAATGGTTAAGTTCAGAGGTTCCAGTAGTGTTTGGGAAGGGGTACCACAGGAGGATTTAGGGTGCTGGTGATGCACTGTTTATTGATCTTGATGCTGACTTAGCAGGTGTGGTCATGTTGCAAAGATTCATTTAACTGTTTATGTATAACTTAAGCACTTTTCATTCTTTGATGAAAAGCTTTTTTAGAGAAGGACTATAAACTGTTGGCAATACCTTTTCCACCCTGGGATTTAAAAAAGAAAAATTGCCCAAGGTCATATAGCTAGTGAGTGAAAAGACTTAGAGCAGAAAATATTTAAGGATAATTTAATAATTAATGTTTTATTAGAATTAGATCTTTTATTAGACTAAATATAGAAAGGGGAAAAAGGAGATGTGAGACTAGTTCATAAATAATTTTGACATTTACAATTCCTCGGTTTTTTTGAACAGTTTGCCGGGAGGACTCATATCACTCTGTCGTCTCATGTGCCGCAGTAGTTCTTACTCCTATGGAACCAATGATAGAAATGAAGAAAAGAGAAGAACCAGAATTTCCTGAGCCTTCCAAACAGTGAGTTGTTCATTTAATTTTTCAAGGCCTTGTAAAATCAATTAGATAACTGATAAGAAAATGTGATTTATAATAAATGTGTTAATATTAGTATAAAGAAAGAAGAAATAAATTTTATGGGTTAAAAAATCATCTATTCTATATTATCTTAATGAATTAACTTCTGTGTCTCCTAACTTCATGTCTTTGAACCATGTGTCATTCAAGTTTCATTTTGTTACCTTATCTTAAGGACATGGGCAAGTAGGCTGATGTACTTTATTTCCCTACTCTGTGATTGTGGGTACACTGTTCTTGGATTGCTTACTATATAAGCTGTAGGCTTTAATGATATAAAATGAAATCAGTTTTTAATATAAAGTTTTTAAAGTTGGTTTGCATTTTTATAAGGAATGTAAGTTATTATTTTAAAATATTTTTACTAAATTAGAACAAATTTGAACTTTATACTATTTTAGTGTTTTCATATTTTTTCCATTTAAACAGTTCAAGCTTTAATTTAAATTAAAATTTGATCTTCTATTATATAAATGATAAACTTGTACTCTTATAATGACTAAAGAGGCTTAAGTTCATGATGATAAATGTAAGCTTATGTAGATGTCAAATATTAAATAAATGGGGATTATTTCTGCTTATATATTAAATACATGAAAAGGAAAAAACCTGCTGAGTATTTTTCAGTGAGAAATAGTATCATGCCTCCTTTAAGGTTTCTGGTTAGTGATTAGGTGATATAAGGGGCTGCCAAGGATTTTGGGCTGACCACCGTAGGAGTAAGGCGGAAGATATATCTTGATGTACCTACCATTTTTCTCCATTGGATTACACTGTGTTATAGTTATTTGCTTCTTGTATGTCTTTTTACTAGATAATAAGCTCTTAAGGCATAATTGTGCTTGATACTGTTTGTGAATAGGGCAATGTATATATTTGATTGCATGAAGATATTCAGTATTAATATTCTTATTATAGAGGGAAGAAACACTGACCAATTTAGAAAATAATGATTTTAATTCAGTTTTAATACAATCTAAAAGTCAGTTAATTTAACTGCTCTTCATATAGTCTTAATTTTTAAGTTCCAAAAGCCATTTTTGTCTAATAGATAATTGCATCATGTTTGCCAATTGAATTATATTAGAAAGCTCAAATGTGTTTTCCTGCAAAACACACACACACACACACACACACACACACACACACACACACATTTCCTTATCTTTTATTTAGGGTGATATCACCACTCTCTTTGTTAGTATTATGTGAAATGATATTGAGAAAGGACCTGAAATCTAATAATCCATAAAGTTCTAGTTATGTTGACCATTCTATAGCTTCAGCTATCAACATTATGGGTGACTTATGGTTATATATTCTTTTCATGAAGGCTCTTCTGAATGCAAATGTAATATTTAAAGTTGTTCATCAGACTTGTCTAACTAGGCATCCTACCGAAGTGTCATGCAGGTTGAATGTCCCTTATTCAAAATGCTTGGGAGCAGAAGTGTTTCAGATTTCAGATGTTTTCAGATTTTGCAATATTTGTATTATATTAGTTGAGCATCCTAAATCCAAAAATATGAAATTTGAAATGGAACATGAGCATTTTCTTTGATTGTCAAGTTAACACTCAAAAAGTTTCAGATTTTAGAACATTGGGATTTTCAGGTTTGGGATCTTCAGTCTGTTGTAAATATGTCTGAAGACAAATTAATAATCTCCTCTAAGTACTCCGTAAATTCTCAAGTTGTTCCATATTTAAGTAAAGCTACCATCATTTTTCTTTTTTTAAAATCTTGGTATGTTTTCTTCCTCACATCTCATATTCAATCAGTTATCAATTACTTGATTAATGTCTCCATTATATTTTCTTATTTCAGCAGACCTGGAAGGTATATATATCCCATATTTTAAATATCTCCTAAAATATATCTTCAGTTGTAATCTTAATGATGCCATCTATCAAATGGAAATTGTTTATGTCCTACATACCCAACACTGTTATTTTGAGAATTAAAAGATAGGTGTGAACATATGGCAAGAACAGAGTATAAATGCAAGCACAGTGATTAACTCAAAACTCTTGTTTGCCAGTGACAGAAGCCAAATGCTAACTGGTTTCAGAAAAAAAGAATCAAGAGTGCTGGTGGTTATTGGCTCATGTAATTTATAAAGTACAAAGGTAGCAATTTCTTCAAGTACAGTTTTGGTTCTCAAATGATATCATCAAGGGTCATTCTCTCTATCTACATGTTTTTTGCTTGACTCTTCTGTCTGGGCTTTTCATTTTCTGGGAGGTTCCTCTAGTGGTGATATTACTGCCTTCAGCAGCCACTGGGATTGATTTTCATTTTCTCCACAAATCCAGTGGAAGGAGATAATTTCTCATTCCTTTTAATCAAAGCAAAAAAAAAAAAAAAAAAACAAAACACCCAGATTTGAGTGTCATTGGATTGGCTTTGACTAGCTTGCCTTGTTTGACATGGCAATTCTGAAACAATCACTATATCCAAAAGTATTTGGTGGCGATTGACTAGATAATTTGTTGATGTTGCATGACAAGCCCTGGAACACAGAATGAAATTTAGAGGGGAAAGGTGATTCCACAATTGACATATTGGTGATATTGATAAAAGAAGGCAGAGATAGATGAGGTGTCAAAATAATGAATGTTCCATATAGGTAATAATATTATTATCACCATTAATTTTAAAAGTCAGAATTCTTTATTATATTTAAATCATAAACATTGATATACTGAAATATAATGCATGTATCTTTATTTCTTATTTTAAATGATTTTTTACCTACTTAATTTTATTTTATGTTATTTGTTCTGGGTGTGCTATTGAGAGGCAGTATAACACAGTGGTTAGGAATCCAGGCATTGGGCAGATTCTTTCCCCCCAACCCCCACCAATTTTCTTAACCCCTGGGCACTGTGGCTTGCACCTATACTCCCAGATACTCACAAGGCTGAGGGGAAAGGATCATTTGAACCCAGGATTTTGAGGCTGCAGAGAGCTATGACCATGCCACTGCCTTACTCCAGCTTGGGTGACAAAGCAAGACTGTCTCTAAAAGAAATAATAAATAAATAAAGCTTCTTAACCTTAGTTTATTTGTTTCTTTTTAATATGGGAGATACTTTACCTCATAATGCAATGCCTAAAACATAATAGAGATGCAAGAACATATAAATTTTGTAATTTTTTTGCAACAAATATATTTGTTAAATAGCCACATCAACTGTTTATAAATGGTGTTACTAATGCCCTTATGATATCAGTTTTGTGTATTTTGGATTTCCCATAAGAAAAAAAAAATACTAGATAGGGCTGGACGTGGTGACTCACACCTGTAATCCCGCACTTTGGGAGGCCGAGGCGGGCGGATCACTTGAGGTCAGGAGTTTGAGACCAGCCTGGCTAACATGGTGAAACCCTGTCTCTACTAAAAATACAAAAAAATTAGCCAGGCATGGTGGCAGTCACCTGTAATCCCAGCTACTTGCAAGGCTGAGGCAGGAGAACCACTTGAACCTGGGAGGCAGAGGTTGCAGTGAGCTAAGATTGTGTCACTGCACTCCAGTCTGGGTGACAAGAGCAAAACGCCATCTCAAAAAAAAAAATAGTAGACATAAAATAATCACCCGCCAATATAATACTAATGCTGAAAGTTGAGACACTGTCTTTGGATAACAAATATTTCTTTTTAATTTTGGATGGAATTACTTCTTTAAGTAAATTTTCCCCTTGAATTTTACAGTCTTCACATATAAATTCATAAATCATTGAGTCTTTGAAATATAGGATTCATAGAGTCATCTGATTCAGAACCCAGTAAATTCATTGCTAAGAATAACTGAAATAGTCATCTCAGAATATGTAAGATTGTACATAAGAAAGAATATGTAATATATAATTACATCACTTTAGAAGGTAAGAAACATTTTATGACTGAGATATTTGTATTATCTAACCAATGTTTAGTTATATTCTGATGATAAATATTTTACTTTTGACTTTTTTTATTAAATATTCTCATGTATTTATTAGTTTTTAGACATTTGATAAGGAGAAACAAGAATTAGGAACTCCTACTAGGAATGAAGTATAAATTTTTCAGCATAGCAGGTGATAGGGAGAAACTAACTAAATCGTTAAGAAGGAAAGCTACATTGCTCATTACAGTGGCGGAGGACCAGAGCTTTCCACTTCCTGCAATATCTAAAATTCATCTTAATTCAGAAAACAAAGGTGGGGATTTTACTTCACTTCTGAGTTTAGTTTGGTATGTAACTCAGAATACCATAGAAAGGATAAACTTTTTAAAAAATAGAATAATCTATGTAATCCAAAAAGAGTGTACAATTTTCAAATATTTAATCATAAGCATAGAATGCTGGGGTCAAAGCTTTGAGAGTGACTGTTCACAATAGCAGAGTCATGAAATCAACCTAAGTGCCCTCAACAGATGGTTGGATAAAGAAAATGTGGTATATATACACCATAAAAAAGAGTGAAATCATGTCTTTTCAGCAACGTGGATGGAGCTGGAGGTCATTATCCTAAGTGAAATAACTCAGAAAATCAAATACCACATATCCATACGTAATAATTGGGAGCTAAATAATGGGCACACATGGACATACAGAGGGGAATTATAAATTTATAAAAATCCTACTGTTAAAAGTATAACCAAGTATCCAGCTACACTCAGCATGTTCCTCAAAACTCTACATTTCTCAAGTCAGTTCTATGTAAATGAGCATTTCATGAAATGTACATAGAACTCAAACTCTGAAGAGAATGAAAGAATAACCATGATTGGCTTTGGATTATATTTTGTATTAATACTTTTTTAGAAATGTGCTTGTTGAAATGCAAATATTCTGTACATACCATAACTCAATGTCTGAATGAAGGGATTTTTGTGACCATTGTAAAGTTAGAAATGCAGAGGTAAAAGAAAAATTATTCTATTACTTCTTTGTCCATTTCCACATTTTTATATTATTTTATATAAATAAATCTAACCTTAGGAATAGATTTGATTTATTGTTTACTCTTGCATAGATGAAGCATTACTTAAACATATTGTCATTCTCTCCAAGTTTCAATACCTCTTTGTAATGCTTCAGTTTCTTGTCATGAAGTAGGTTCTGTAAGCTCCTTCTGAAAGGTAACAGACATTATCATTTAGTACAAACGTCTCATTTTTAAAGAATTGCTAACACTAACCTATTTTATTCTTAGAGGGTACTTAACACACAGGCTTAAAGTTTTGTCAGCTCTGTTTGTTTATTTATCTGAATGAATAGTATATGTTAGATTTGGAACAGTTAAGTACTCTCTCTAAGGTCACCTCTTTAGACTCTCTAAAGTTGTTACACAAACTCTGTGGTTATATTGGAGACATATCAAAGAATAATATTACTAGCTGATCTCCAATTTTCCTTTAACAATCTTCAGGAGAACATATTTATTTATGCTTTTAGGCAGATATTTATTTGTTAATTTATCAAAAATAGGTAATTCTTCAGTGTCTGCTTTGTTTTTGGCACTCTGCATAGTGCTAGGGGTTTTGTGTTGAAAAGCAGGTGAAATCCCTTCTGTACTAAAAATACAAAAATTAGCTGGGCGTGGTGGCGCACGCCTATAGTTCCAGCTACTTGAGAGGCTGAGGCAGGAGAATCACTTGAACCTGGGAGGTGGAGGTTGCAGTGAGCCGAGATTGCGCCACTGCACTCCAGCCTGGTGACAGAGCAAGATTCCCTCTCAAAAAAAAAAAAAAAATGCAAAAGTGTAGCTGTGGCTATAATGTAGATGTGTATCTCATTATAAGGGCTGTAGTAAGAAGTTGTAACATAGCCAAGGAGGTCAGGTAAAACGTCCCTGAGGAGGTGACTCTCGAGCTAACATCCACAGGCTATTAGTTAACTAACTGAAAAAACAAAATAGCTTCTTAAAGTGTTCTGTGATGGATGGGAGTGTGGAGAAATTGAAGGAAGGCTCGTGGGAGGAAAAGGAAGCCAAATCATGTTAGCAGGGCCAAGTGACATGGTTAGATTTGCCTTTTGAAAACTTTCTCTTTGTTTGTTATAGAGAACGAATTAGATGTGGTTGGGGTAATGGTGAAATGGAGCCGACTTGGGAGAGCCAATTTGATAGCAGTTCTCCCCAGCTCTAGATTCAGTGATTTCACAGTGAAAGTTTGAAATCAGCCATGGTGGGTGTATTTACATCATAGCATTGGGAAATTCTATAAATGAGGACTTTCCTCCTCCCCTGGAGAGCTAGTTAAATATTTATCAGCACATTAGTAAATGGAGGATAGACTGAGTGGCTACAGTGAGAACATTTAGGTGATTGCTGATAGTAGCTTGCACTAGGTTGCTGGCATTGGGAGTGGAGAAATGTGAAAAGAGAACTGTGTCAATATGTATTTATGAACCTTGGCAAGTTAAATATAGTTATTAAACTAATAACTTATAATACATTACTAAGTATTTGCAATAAGGATGAAAATGAGAAATTATCTTTATTACTAATTGTAATTATGTTAAATATATAATATTGTGGAAATCCTAACATGTTATCTTGAATTAGTAATAGTTTAATGAATGGAGAGTCATGATATTCTTTTAATTTATGTTGAGTATTATATCAGTTGAACTATAAGTGTAACATGCACACACACACACACATAAATGCACTTTGCATAAAATTCCTGTCTGAATCATTGTCATTGATTTTCACTGAAAATGTCCACAATATAAGTAAATTCCACTTAGGTTCTTATGTAAATTCTTATGATTCTTTACTAACAATTTTCCTTCATTTACCCTCCATCACTTCGTGCCTTCAAATTCTTCCATTTAAAAAATTCAATACTGAGGCATGGCTAGGATAAATATCAGGATAATACTATGATTAGGAAACAGCCTTCTTCCTCATGCAGGCATTCAAAAGAAACGGCTAGTGTTTCATGATTTTGGTCAATTCAAGGGTGGAAGCAGCATCTGAGGAGATCAGTGAGGAGATAAGATTTCCATGGTGAAAGCTGTTGCCTAAATATAGGTCTCTTCCACAGCTTTTGGAGGAAGTTAGGGATGGGAGGAGAAACTTTCTAACCTCAAGTCTATAGTGGATTTTCAGAAGAATCATTCAGTGCTTCAAATGTGTTCTCTGCAGTTGGAAGCACAAGGGACAGATGTGGATTCATGCCTGAGAAACTTAAGCAGACTGCCCAGAAAACCTCGAGGGTGAAAAATCGCTGGCCAGCTGTGAAAGCAGCACCATCTAGGACTCTAGAGTTAGTCAGGGAGGCTGTAGTGTTTTTGTGAATTATCTGGAGGATGAGGATACCCCCATAAAGAGGGGCAAAGGACTCTCATGCACCCATGACTAGGGAACTACAGAATACTGGCCCAGAAGGAGACCTTTGAAAAGATCACTTGTGGGCCAATTTGCTAGTCTCTAAAGCCAATTAAATCTCCTTAAAGCTCCTCTGACCGAGTACCACTACCCGCTACCTTTCACCCTGGTAGCAGGAATGCATTAGCTGTACCACTGAGGAAGTTTAATCTTCAGGGGTCAGCTTTACAATGGGCCCCACATAAAGCCCTAGAAGCAATCCTGGAAATTTTTCCTTCTTTTCTCGTGTGTGTGTGTGTGTGTGTGTGTATGTGTGTGTGTGTGGGTGTGTGTGTATGTGTTTTGAGATCCCTCCAGATTTCATAAACTTCAGGGCTCACATAACCTGGATTTATCCCTTTGTACCATCGCCTTTAGATCTGGGCACTCAGGATTCTTGCCTTAGGCCCTGCATGTGAGAGAACTGTGTCACATCCCTTCTCCAGCTGCTCCGCCTTACATAAGATGCATTTCCTGAAAGCCAACAGCTCCCACCACTAGGAGACTATGCCTTCACCACTCACTCTGTCCAGAAATCGCTGCTCAAATGGCCCTAGGTCCTACCCTCTGGAGGACCACATAACGCACAACCCATGGGCTGCGGAGGAACAGTCAATCACTGGTAGTGGTGGACAGAGCTTAGAGGGTCGGTGGGGGCATTCACCTTTCTGACTGCCAGGCCTTGGTGGAAAGGCAGCCGGCTAGATGTTTTGTCAACTATGCTGTATTACTGGTACCTTGTGAAAGGACTGATTGCCATCAATCTTCTGTATTTTTTTTTATCATCTCTATTCAACCTTTTGGAAAGATATGAGCTCATTATTCGCTGGTTTATATATATTGAAAAAAACTAAAGAAGGTTTTCAAACGTCAAGAACCAATAGATTTTAATATGAAAAATAAGAATGTTTAAAAATTCCCAGAGAAACTGCTGCCCTTGATTGACAGTGTTGTTATTTTATCTCTCTGCTGTTTATTGCTCCTTAGTGAGTCATAATATTTGGTCCCTTGTGCAGTTACCCTGTCAAGGCAAGAAATCCTATTGTAACGTTTGCATCTAGTTTGACAACCCTTCTTTGTACATTGAGCACACAAATGCTATTTTTCAGATAAGTTGGGACAACCCGATAATATGACTGAAGTGTTTTAGCTCACCAGTGCAGTACAGTTATCACTGTACTCTTTATAGAGTACTATAAATACAGATTTGTCAGATCACTGAAAAAGATTGCAGGTGCATCACCATTGTTTTGAAAGTAGCTCTTATGTGTGCAGAAAAAGCATGGTGCCAACTTTCAATTCCCCGTGCTAACCTCATCCCATGAAAAAAATCGATTTGCAAATATATAAGATATTTTATTTGAATGTGTTCTATAATTTAGGTTTTAGTATAAGTCTTCTAGTAATACTATAAATAAATGCTATATAATCCAATATTGATTTTCTACTTTTCCCCTTCCAGGGGAGACTGACTAGCAGAAAAAGCAGAAACTTTGAAATCTGAAACATCTCATCTCTATTTGGCAGTTAGATGACATGGAGCAAGGAGCGGGTACTACTGTTATTGAAGTCAAGTATTCTTATATATATAATAAAGACAATAGCACCTGCTTTGTAAGGTCATTGTGAAAGTATTCAATTTTCAAAGTAAAGCAGGTAGAATCATGCTGGGCACCAAGAGGAAGCACAATAAAAATTACCAGATTTAATATCTCTTGAATGAGGAAGTTGGGCATAAGAATAAGGGATTGGATCTCTAAGAATACATAATGTTCTGTGGCATTTATGCTTTTAGATATTTCCTCAAATTTGCCTATTCACAATATGTGATTATTTGCCCATTTTTAAAAGAAAGTATTATCTTTTTTTTCCTCTGGTATATTAAGCCCTTTTACAACAAATGTTTCCTGGTTTTTTTTTTATCTTCTATTTTACTTAGAATAGCAATAACTAGTAGGTACTCAAAAAATACCTGAGAATTGGTTAATTTTTATTTACTTTTGAGGTAAAACACATTTTCTTTTATTTCGAAGGTAGAACCAACCATGATAGTTGTCCAACATTATCAAATTTTTAAAAATTAGATATGAATAGAGCATATTTACTGTTAATATTTTAATATTAACATATTTAACATTTGAATAATTAATATTGAAAATATCACAGGGAATTAAAACAGCAATTTTGTCATCAGTATTGAAAAGAAAGATCTGAAAACTTGAAGTCTAGAAACCTGATTGCCAGCCCTGGAAAAGTGCTATGTTTTGCTGCATGCTAATTCTCTTAACTGTGAAACAAACATTAGCAACACAGTGAAATTCTAATGAGCAAAAGTCTGGGAATGCCTGTTGTAAAATGTGAAGTAGCATACCTTACTTCTTTGTTTTATAGGGGTATCTAAAATAAACATTCATTAATATTTTTAATTCTTTGAGTTAAAGGGTTCCCCTGATTGATGGAAAAATCAAAGTACTTGTAGACAGATTGATTCCTGTCTGTTTCTATAATATTTGAACACCTCTATTATAGTACTCATTAGACAGAATTACAATTGCCTATATTCTTCATTCTCTCTCACTAGATATTAAAGACAGGTATTTTTTGAAGGACAGATGTTTCTATCATTTTCTTTTTGAAATATTGTGTGTGTAGGATGAAATTTTACATTGTAAGCATAATTACGTGTTGAATATATAAATTAGGGTTGTAAACTATTGTTTAAATCTAGTCTTTAAAATAATAAATTGGTTTATTCAGTAACACTTAAATGTATTTAATATTAGGCACCATACTGTAATCTAAGCTTTGCAAACACGTATCCATTTAATCTTCCCAACAAGATTATATGTTGTTATTATCTGCAAGCTACAGGTCAGACAACAAAGGCACATGGAGATTAAGTAACTTGTCCAGGATGACAATTTAAAAAAAGAATAAATTGTACTTTCTTTCTTTCTTTTTTTTTTTTTTTTTTATTTTTTTGGAGATGGAGTCTTGCTGTGTTGCCCAGGCTGGAGTTCAGTGGCGCAATCTCGGCTCACTGCAACCTCCACCTCCCAGGTTCAAGCAATTCTCCTGCCTCAGCCTACTGAGTAGCTGGGATTATAGGCACGTGCCACCACACTCGGCTAATTTTTGTATTTTTAGTATAGACGAGGTTTCACCATGTTAGTCAGGCTGGTCTTGAACTCCTGACCTCGTGATCTGCCTGCCTCAGCCTCCCAAAGTGCTAGGATTACAGGTGTGAGCCCCCACGCGGGCCTGTACTTTCTTTTAAATTACTTTAATTACTAAATTTAGAATCTGACACACTGTGAAATCATTCTTTTTTTTTTCAAATGCAGTTCTTTTTGTAGTCTTTTGTAATCTAAAAAATATGAATGTCATTATAAGCAAATAATGCTTAAGATGATTAGCATTTATAAATCAACATAATATAAAGGAAGAATATAAGTAACAAAATTCTTCACTGATGATTATCACAATCAGTACCTCTTCATTTATGTGTATGTTTTTCTCTCAAATGAGCCAGGAGGAAAACTTTTTTTCATGCTTCTGTTCTACTTAGTGTCATTAGTGTCATTATTCATTTTACTAGCTATTTCTTTTTCGTCTTTTTATACTTTAAGTTTTAGGGTACATGTGCACAATGTGCAGGTTTGTTACATATATACATGTGCCATGTTGGTGTGCTGCACCCATTAACTCATCATTTACATTAGGTATATCTCCTAATGCTATCCCTCCCCGCTCCCCCCACCCCACAACAGGCCCTGGTGAGTAATGTTCCCCTTCCTCTGTCCATGTGTACTCATTGATCAATTCCCACCTATAAGTGAGAATATGCGGTGTTTGGTTTTTTGTCCTTGCGATAGTTTGCTGAGAATGATGGCTGCCAGCTTCATCCATGTCCCTACAAAGGACATGAACTCATCCTTTTTTATGGCTGTATAGTATTCTACGGTGTATATGTGCCACATTTACTTAATCCAGTCTATCATTGTTGGACATTTGGGTTGGGTCCAAGTCTTTGCTATTGTGAATAGTGCCGCAATAAACATACGTGTGCATGTGTCTTTATAGCAGCATGATTTATAATCCTTTGGATATATACCCAGTAATGGGATGGCTGGGTCAAATGGTATTTCTAGTTCCAGATCCCTGAAGAATCGCCACACCAATTTCCACAATTGTTGAACTAGTTTACAGTCCCACCAACAGTGTCAAAGTGTTCCTATTTCTCCACATCCTCTCCAGCACCTGTTGTTTCCTGACTTTTTAATGATTGCCATTCTAACTGGTGTGAGATGGTATCTCATTGTGGTTTTGATTGACATTTCTCTGATGGCCAGTGATGATGAGCATTTTTTCATGTGTTTTTTGGCTGCATAAATGTCTTCTTTTAAGAATTGTCTGTTCATATCCTTCGACCACTTTTTGATGGGGTTGTTTGTTTTTTTCTTGTAAATTTGTTTGAGTTTATTGTAGATTCTGGATATTAGCCCTTTGTCACATAAATAGGTTGCAAAAATTTTCTCCCATTCTGTAGGTTGCCTGTTCATTCTGACGGTGGTTTCTTTTGCTGTGCAGAAACTCTTTAGCTTAATTAGATCCCATTTGTCACTTTTGGCTTTTGTTTCCATTGCTTTTGGTGTTTTAGACATGAAGTCCTTGCCCATGCCTACATCCTGAATGGTATTGCCTAGGTTTTCTTCTAGGGTTTTTATGGTTTTAGGTCTAACATTTAAGTCTTTCATCCATCTTGAATTAATTTTTGTATAAGGTGTAAGGAAGGCATCCACTTTCAACTTTCTCCATGTGGCGAGGCAGTTTTCCCAGCACCATTTATTGAATAGGGAATCCTTTCCCCATTGCTTGTTTTTGTCAGGTTTGTCAAAGATCAGATGGTTGCATATGTGTGGGATTATTTCTGAGGGCTCTGTTCTGTTCTATTGGTCTATATCTCTGTTTTGGTACCAGTACCATGCTGTTTTGGTTACTGTAGCCTTGTAGTATAGTTTGAAGTCAGGTAGCATGATGCCTCCAGCTTTGTTCTTTTGGCTTAGGATTGACGTGGCAATGCGGGCTCTTTTTTGGTTCCATAGGAACTTTAAAGTAGTTTTTTCCAATTCTGTGAAGAAAGTCAGTGGTAGCTTGATGGGGATGGCATTGAATCTATAAATTAGTTTGGGCAGTATGGCCATTTTCACGATATTGATTCTTCCTATCCATGAGTATGGAATGTTCTTCCATTTGTTTGTGTCCTCTTTTATTTCCTTGAGCAGTGGTTTGAAGTTCTCGTTGAAGAGGTCCTTCACATCCCTTGTAAGTTGGATTCCTAGGTATTTTATTCTCATTGAAGCAATTATGAATGGGAGTTCACTCATGATTTGGCTCTCTGTTATTGGTGCATAAGAATGCTTGTGATTTTTGCACATTGATTTTGTATCCTGAGACTTTGCTGAAGTTTCTTATCAGCTTATGGAGATTTTGGGCTGAGACAATGGGGTTTTCTAGATATACAATCATGTCATCTGCAAACAGGGACAATTTGACTTCCTCTTTTCCTAATTGAATACCCTCTATTTCCTTCTCCTGCCTGATTGCCCTGGCCAGAACTTCCAACACTATGCTGAATAGGAGTGGTAAGAGAGGGCATCCTTGTCTTGTGCCAGTTTTCAAAGGGAATGCTTCCAGTTTTTGTCCATTCAGTATGATATGGCTGTGGGTTTGTCATAGAAAGCGCTTATTATTTTGAGATATGTCCCATCAATACTTAATTTATTGAGAGTTTTTAGCACGAAGTGTTGTTGAATTTTGTCAAAAGCCTTTTCTGCATCTATTGAGATAATCATGTGGTTTTTGTCATTGGTTCTGTTTATATGCTGGATTACGTTTATTGATTTTCGTATGTTGAAGCAGCCTTGCATCCCAGGGATGAAGCCCACTTGATCATGGTGGATAAGCTTTTTGATGTGTTGCTGGATTCGGTTTGCCAGTATTTTATTGAGGATTTTTGCATTAATGTTCATCAAGGATATTGGTCTAAAATTCTCTTTTTTTTGTTGCATCTCTGCCAGGCTTTGGTATCAGGATGATGGTTGCCTCATAAAACGAGTTAGGGAGGATTCCCTCTTTTTCTATTGATTGGAATAGTTTCAGAAGGAATGGTACCAGCTGCTCCTTGTACCTCTGGTAGAATTCGGCTGTGAATCCATCTGGTCCTGGACTTTTTTTGGTTGGTAAGCTATTAATTATAGCCTCAATTTCAAAGCCTGTTATTAGTCTATTCAGAGATTCAACTTCTTCCTGGTTGAGATTTGGGAGAGTGTGTGTGTTGAGCAATTTATCCATTTCTTCTAGATTTTCTAGTTTATTTGTGTAGAGGTGTTTCTAGTATTCTCTGATGGTAGTTTATATTTCTGTGGGATCGGTGGTGATATCCCCTTTTTCATTTTTTATTGCATCTATTTGATTCTTCTCTCATTTCTTCTTTATTAGTCTTGCTAGTGGTCTATCAATTTTGTTGATCTTTTCAAAAAACCAGCTCCTGGATTCATTGATTTTTTGAAGGGCTTTTTGTGTCTCTATTTCCTTCAGTTCTGCTCTGATCTTAGTTATTTCTTGCCTTCTGCTAGCTTTTGAATGTGTTTGCTCTTGCTTCTCTAGTTGTTTTAATTGTGATGTTAGGGTGTCAATTTTAGATCTTTCCTGCTTTCTCTTGTGGGCATTTAGTGCTATACATTTCTCTCTACACACTGCTTTGAATGTGTCCCAGAGATTCTGGTATGTTGTGTCTTTGTTCTTGTTGGTTTCAAAGAACATCTTTATTTCTGCCTTCATTTTGTTATGTACCCAGTAGTCATTCAGGAGCAGGTTGTTCAGTTTCCATGTAGTTGAGCGGTTTTGAGTGAGTTTCTTAATCCTGAGTTCTAGTTTGATTGCACTGTGATCTGAGAGACAGTTTGTTATACTTTCTGTTCTTTTACATTTGCTGAGGAGTGCTTTACTTCCAAGTATGTGGTCAGTTTTGGAACAGGTGTGGTGTGGTGCTGAAAAGAATGTATATTCTGTTGATTTGGGGTGGAGAGTTCTGTAGATGTCTATTAGGTCTGCTTGGTGCAGAACTGACTTCAATTCCTGGATATCCTTGTTAACTTTCTGTTTCATTGATCTGTCTGATGTTGACAGTGGGGTGTTAAAGTCTCCCATTACTATTGTGTGGGAGTCTAAGTCACTTTGTAGGTCACTAAGTACTTGCTTTATGAATCTGAGTGCTCCTGTATTGGGTGCATATATATTTAGGATAGTTAGTTCTTCTTGTTGAATTGATCCCTTTACCATTATGTAATGGCCTTCTTTGTCTCTCTTGATCTTTGTTGGTTTAAAGTCTGTTTTATCCGAGACTAGGATTGCAACCCCTGCCTTTTTTTGTTTTCCGTTTGCTTGGCAGATCTTCCTCCATCCCTTTATTTTGAGCCTATGTGTGTCTCTGCACATGAGATGGGTCTCCTGAATACAGCACACTAATGGGTCTTGACTCTTTATCCAATTTGCCAGTCTGTGTCTTTTCATTGGAGCATTTAGTCCACATACATTTAAGGTTAGTATTGTCATGTGTGAATTTGATCCTGTCATTATGATGTTACCTGATTGTTTTGCTTGTTAGTTGATGCAGTTTCTTCCTAGCCTTGATGGTCTTTACAATTTAGCATGTTTTTGCAGTGGCTGGTACCGGTTGTTCCTTTCCATGTTTAGTGCTTCCTTCAGGAGGTCTTTCAGGGCAGGCCTGGTGGTGACAGAATCTCTCAGCATTTGCTTGTCTGTAAAGTATTTTATTTCTCCTTCACTTATGAAGCTTAGTTTGGCTGGATATGAAATTCTGAGTTGAAAATTCTTTTCTTTAAGAATGTTGAATATTGGCCCCCACTCTCTTCTGGCTTGTAGAGTTTCTGCTGAGAGATCAGCTGTTAGTGTGATGGGCTTCCCTTTGTGGATAACCCAACCTTTCTCTCTGGCTGCCCTTAACATTTTTTCCTTCATTTCAACATTGGTGAATCTGACAATTATGTATCTTGGAGTTGCTCTTCTTGTGGAGTATCTTTGTGGCATTCTCTGTATTCACTGAATGTGAATGTTGGCCTGCCTTGCTAGATTGGGGAAGTTGTCCTGGATAATATCCTGCAGAGTGTTTTCCAACTTGGTTCCATTCTCCCCATCACTTTCAGGTACACCAATTAGACGTAGATTTGGTCTTTTCACATAGTCACATATTTCTTGGAGGCTTTGTTCGTTTCTTTTTATTCTTTTTTCTCTAAACTTCTCTTCACGCTTCATTTCATTCATTTCATCTTCCATCACTGGTACCCTTTCTTCCAGTTGATCGCATCGGTTACTGAGGCTTGTGCATTCATCACGTAGTTCTCGTGCGTGGTTTTTGGCTCCATGAGGTCCTTTAAGGACTTCTCTGTGTTTGTTATTCTAGTTATCCATTCATCTAATTTTTTTTCAAAGTTTTTAACTTATTTGCCATTGGTTCGAACTTCCTCCTTTAGCTCGGAGTAGTTTGATCTTCTGAAGCCTTGTTCTCTCAACTCATCAAAGTCATTCTCCATCCAGCTTTATTCCATTGCTGGTGAGGAGCTGTGTTCCTTTGGAGGAGGAGAGGTGCTTTGATTTTTAGAGTTTCTGGTTTTTCTGCTCTGTTTTTTCCCCATCTTTGTGGTTTTATCTACTTTTGGTCTTTGATGATGGTGACATACAGACGGGTTTTTGGTGTGGATGTCCTTTCTGTTTGTTAGTTTTCCTTCTAACAGTCAGGACCCTCAGCTGCAGGTCTGTTGGAGTTTACTGGAGGTCCACTCCAGACCCTGTTTGCCTGGGTATCAGCAGCGGTGGCTGCAGAACAGTGGATATTGGTGAACCGCAAATGCTGCTCCCTGATGGTTCCTCTGGAAGTTTTGTCTCAGAGGAGTACCTGGCCGGCTGTGTGATATGTCAATCTGCCCCTACTGGGGGGTTCCTCCCAGTTAGGCTACTCGGGGGTTAGGGACCCTCTTGAGGAGACAGTCTGCTCATTCTCAGATCTCAAGCTGTGTGCTGGGAGAACCACTACTCTCTTGAAAGCTGTCAGACAGGGACATTTAAGTCTGCAGAGGTTATTGCTGTCTTTTGTTTGTCTGTGCCCAGCCCCTAGAGGTGGAGGCTATGGGGCAGGCAGGCCTCCTTGAGCTGTGGTGGGCTCCATCCAGTTCGAGCTTCCCAGCCACTTTGTTTACCTGCTCTAGCCTGAGCAATGGCGGGCGCCCCTCCCCCAGCCTTGCTGCCACCTTGCAGTTTGATCTCAGACTGCTGTGCTAGCAATGAGCGAGGCTCTGTGGGCGTAGGACCCTCTGAGCCAGTTGCGGGATATAATCTCCTGGTGTGCCCTTTGTTAAGCCCGTTGGAAGAGCGCAGTATTAGGGTGGGAGTGACCCAATTTTCCAGGTGCTGTCTGTCACCCGTTTCTTTGACTAGGAAAGTGAATTCCCTGACCCGTTGCACTTCCCAGGTGAGTCGATGCCTCGCTCTGCTTCGGTTCACGCACGGTGCGCTGCACCCACTGTCCTGCACCCACTGTCTGGCACTCCCCCGTGAGATGAACCTGGTACCTCACTTGGAAATGCAGAAATCAACTGTATTCTGTGTCACTCACGCTGGGAGCTGCAGACTGGAGCTGTTCCTATTCGGCCATCTTGGCTCCACCCCCCCCCCCCAATTTAACTTTTATTTAAAGTTTAGGGGTACATGTGCAGTTTTGTTATGTAGGTAAACATATACCATATACCTATGTGTCATGGGGGTTTGTGATACAGGTTATTTCATCACCCAGGTATTAAGCCTAGTACTCATTAGTGATTTTTCCTGATCCTTTCCTTTCTTCCACCCTCCAGTCTCTGATAAGCCCCAGTGTGTGTTGTTCCCCTCTATGTATCCATGTGTTCTTATCATTTAGTTCCCACTTGTAAGGGAGAAAATACAGTATGTGGTTTTCTGATCCTCTGTTAGTTTGCTAAGGATAATTATCTCCAGCTCCATGCACATTCCTGCAAAAGACATGATGTTTTTATTTTTTGTTTTGTTTTGTTTTTTTAATGGCTACGTATATACTGGCTAACTTCTATTCATCTTTTGTTTTGAAAAGTCACTTCTTCAACTCAGAGGACTCTGTCATGTGGTCTACATTCTGCAAATTTCTTTTACCTTATTTACCACAGAAACAAATATGGAACCTAATCAACAATTGTAGATGTTCACAAATCAGAGGTCCTTTATTGTTTCACTTTTCCTTGATAGTCAAATAAAACATTCATGGGCTTTGATTCCAAGAACTGTGTTAAGTACAGTGGTCCCCACTCCCACCCCTCAATCTAGGAAAATTATAATCAATTCTTTTCCTCCTGGTTGCATCTTTTCCCAATATTCTCTTTTGCTTAAATTCTTGATCTATCTGGACTATTTTTTAACCTCTTATGTATAGGTTCCATGACATTATTGTCCTTAAGTTCCATTAAAGTCCTGACATGGACTGCTTCTCTCTTGCTATAATTTTCCTCAGTCTTCTATCAGGACCCTTCTTCACTTTTCTACATTTACCCCTTGAGTGCCTCATAGTCACTTCAAAGTTGCTACTTGAAAACACATTGTGGCAAGTAGTGGTGGTTGTCTACACAGTTTTCAGCTTTCTTGAAGTAAATGCTTTCTGTTTTGGGATCAGCAATGCACTTGCCACAGGTGATGAATCATGTCTGGTCTAAAACTTCACTAGTCATGAAAACCTCATTTCTACTTTCTAGGTTTTTGTCTTCAGGTGGGTATCTGAGTCAGTTATGGACAAAGAGACATAATAGGAAGTCAGCCAAGGGCTTCCAAGAAATATTTTCCTCTTGATACATAGATAAAAACTGCTTTTTTTGCCTCGTTCTCTCCCTTATGATTTGGGTTTTGTCTATGAAGACTGTATAATTGGGCCTAGAGCACCAATCTTGAGACTGGAAGACTGCATGTATTGAAGTAAACAGTAAGCTGAAAAGAAAGCCAGTCCAACTTTTAGCTACTAGACTTTATGCTAGCTAAATAACAATAAATGTCTGTCTTTCTCTCTATATATATTTTGAGACAAAGTCTTGCTCTGTTGCCCAGGCTGGAGTGCAAAGGCAGGATCTCGGCTTACTGCAACCCCTGCCTCCTGGGTTCAAGCAATTCTCCTGCCTCAGCCTTCTGAGTAGCTGGGATTACAGGGGCCCACCACCATGCCCAGCTAATTTTTGTATTTTTAGTAGAGATGAGGTTTCACAATGTTGGCCAGGCTGGTCTCGAACTCCTGACCTCAGGTGATCCACCTGCCTTGGCCTTCCAAAGTGCTGGGATTACAGGCGTGAGCCACTGGTCCCGGCCGTCTCTATTTTTTAATACCTCTTTACAGGATATTCTGTTATGTAATAATCAACACAGCCAGAATTCCTGCTTATTTTCTTGAACAGAGCAACTTAACTTTTGTTTTTAGTTGTCTGACTTAGATCATGCACAGAAGGTCATCTCATTAAGCAACAGAATATATATGTCACTTTGAGACAATCATAAGTGCACTTCCCTGACAATTTTAATGTACAGTAGTCATTTTATCTCTCTGTACATAATATTCCTTTCTATCATATACTTGTTTGTTCAGTATTTATCATATAGGTTTTCAAATTTGATGAAAGCAGGGATTGTTCCCCTTATGCATGGGTGCGTTTGCAGGTCTTTGCACAACACCAGATTCTAAAAGGGCCTCAATAAGCATGTATGGAATAAACAGCTGAAAGAATGAATATTTAATCTAGTGTTTCTTTGTTTGTTTGTTTGTTTGACACGAAGTCTTGTTCTGTCACTAGGCTGGAGTGCAGTGGCACAATCTCGGCTCACTGCAACCTGCGCCTCTGGGTTCAAGCGATTCTGCCTCAGCCTCTGGAGTAGCTGAAACTACAGGCACAAGCCACTATGCCCGGCTAATTTTTGTATTTTTAGTAGAGATGGAGTTTCACCATGTTGGCCAGGCTGTTCTCCATCTCTTGACCTAGTGATCTGCCCACCTTGGCTTCCCAAAGTGCTGTGATTACAGGCATGAGCCACCGCACCTGGCTTAATCTAGTGTTTTAATGAGTTGCAGTGGAGAAGTCAACACTTAGTAGATTGTCTTCTTATAAGGATTGCCATTTGAACAGTCTTGAATGTTCAGAATAGTTCATAACCCAGAAGAAATGGGGAAAATTAGACCTTCAGAGATAGCATGTTCCCTGTTCCTGATTCATCAATTGTGAGGAAATTTAAAATGAGTGTCTGGACTACATGATTGTTTAAGTCCTCTCTATTTTTATTTTATTTTATTTTATTTATTTATTTTGAGACGGAGTCTCGCTCTGTTGCCCAGGCTGGAGTACAGTGGCGTGATCTCAGCACACTGCAAGCTCCGCCTCGGCCTCCATGGTTCACACCATTCTCCTGCTTCAGCCTCCCGAGTAGCTGGGACTACAGGCACCCACCACCACACCCAGCTAATTTTTGTATTTTTAGTAGAGATGGGGTTTCACCATGTTGGCCAGGCTGATTTCAAACTCCTGACCTCAGGTGATCCGCCCCACTCGGCCTCCCAAAGTGCTGAGATTACAAGGGTGAGCCACTGCACCAGGCGACGTCCTCTCTATTTTAATATATTTCAATCAAGAAAGCCTCATACATCTAAAGATAATATGTATTAATAAAAGCCCTCTAAGTATGAATCTAGTAAATGTGGAGACCAAAATTGCATAAGAAATAATGAGAAAAGGTTTAAATGGTGGGAAATGAGACAACATGAAAATAATTTGTTTAGCCTTACATTTTACAAAACTTAGGGTATAATTGCAATGTTTGAAAGGTACAAAATAGAATGCTCGCTCTGAACATATGACATCTGTCACTTCAATTGTATATAATGATGTTAAAGAGGGTAATTTTCATAAGATTATACAAGGATATTGTTGATTTTCCCTGAAGTCTTTTAGAACCATCAATTAATGTAACAATTATATTTTTAAGCACCTTGTGCAGAGGAGAGGGATAGGCATGTCAGGAGAGGTTTGAGGAGGGATTAATTTTGTAGGTAGTCAGTTCACTAGTGAATATTTTATTGTATGGAAAATTTTACTTCTCTACACAGAATCATAAATATAACAACTTGGATAATACATACCAGAATAATGAGACTGCCTTGTACTTTACTGAGTTTGGGATTAATAATTAATACTATGGGTAGACAGTTTTCCAAATTCATGATTAAGTTTTCTCTGATAACAAAAGCCATTTTTCAACTTTTATTTCTTTCAAGAAGCATACCCTTGATTAATGTTTCAGTATATCCTACAGGGTCATTAACACCAGTGTACCAGAGGAAGATGAAGAGAAAATATTTCTGCATAGAGAAATGGTATATGACCTCAAGTATTAAAAATGAATTCTAGTATCTTAGATACCAATCTTATAAGTGAAAATCCTCTTTTGAGCTGCAAAAGAGAACTAGTGTGCTATTTTAAGATATACCCCTTTAAAACAGTTTTAGGGAGTATATAGGACTGGGGTAAAGAACAGAGTCTTGGGAGTCAGCATTCTTATATCAATTGAGTTTGCTAATCTTGGGCAAAGAGGGAAATTATTAATAGGTAGTACGTCACTTCTAAATTCTTTTTTTAATTTTTATTTATTATACTTCAAGTGCTAGGGTACATGTGCACAATGTGCAGGTTTGTTACATATGTATACATGCACCATGTTGGTGTGCTGCACCCATTAACTCGTCATTTACATTAGGTATATTTCCTAACGATATCCATCCTCCCTCCACCCAACCCCATGACAGGCCCTAGTGTGTGATGTTCCCCTTCCTGTGTCCAGGTGTTCTCATTGTTTAATTCCCACCTATGAGTGAGAACATGCGGTGTTTGTTTTTTTGTCCTTGCGATAGTTTGCTGAGAATGATGGTTTCCAGCTTCATTCATGTCCCTACAAAGGACATGAACTCATCCATTTTTATGGCTGCATAGTATTCCATGGTGTATATGTGGCACATTTTCTTAATCCAGTCTATCATTGTTGGACATTTGGGTTGGTTCCAAGTCTTTGCTATTTTGAATAGTGCCGCAATAAACATACGTGTGCATGTGTCTTTATAGCAGCTTGATTTATAATCCTTTGGGTATATACCCAGTAATTGGATTGCTGGGTCAAATGGTATTTCTAGTTCGATATCCCTGAGGAATCACCACACTGTCTTCCACAATGGTTGAACCAGTTTACAGTCCCACCAACAGTGTCAAAGTGTTCCTATTTCTCCACATCCTCTCCAGCACCTGTTGTTTCCTGACTTTTTAATGATTGCCATTCTAACTGGTGTGAGATGGTATCTCATTATGGTTTTGATTTGCATATCTCTGATGGTCGGTGATGATGAGCATTTTTTCATGTGTCTTTTGGCTGCATAAATGTCTTCTTTTAAGAAGTGTCTGTTCATATCCTTCACCCACTTTTTGATGGGGTTGTTTGTTTTTTTCTTGTAAATTTGTTTGAGTTCATTGTAGATTCTGGATATTAGCCCTTTGTGAGATGAGTAGATTGCAAAAATTTTCTCCCATTCTGTAGGTTGCCTGTTCATTCTGATGGTAGTTTCCTTTGCTGTGCAGAAGCTCTTTAGTTTAATTAGATCCCATTTGCCAATTTTAGCTTTTGTTGCCATTGCTTTTGGTGTTTATACATGAAGTCCTTGCCCATGCCTATGTCCTGAATGGTATTGCCTAGGTTTTCTTGTAGGGATTTTATGGTTTTATGTCTAACATGTAAGTCTTTAATCCATCTTAAATTAATTTTTATATAAGGTTTAAGGAAGGGATCCAGTTTCAGCTTTCTACATATGGCTAGCTAGTTTTCCCAGCACCATTTTTTAAATAGGGAATCCTTTCCCTATTTCTTGTTTTTGTCAGGTTTGTCAAAGATCAGATGGTTGCAGATGTGTGGTATTATTTCTGAGGCCTCTGTTCTGTTCCATTGGTCTATAGCTCTGTTTTGGTACCAGTACCATGCTGTTTTGGTTACTATAGCCTTGTAGTATAGTTTGAAGTGAGGTAGCATAATGCCTCCAGCTTTGTTCTTTTGGCTTAGGATTGTCTTGGCAATGCGGGCCCTTTTTGGTTCCATAGGAACTTTAAAGTAGTTTTTTCCAATTCTGTGAAGAAAGTCATTGGTAGCTTGATGGGAATGCCATTGAAACTATAAATTACCTTGGGCAGTATGGCCATTTTCACGATATTGATTCTTCCTATCCATGAGTATGGAATGTTCTTCCATTTTTTGTGTCGTCTTGTTTCCTTGAGCAGTGGTTTGAAGTTCTCCTTGAAGAGGTCCTTCACATCCCTCATAAGTTGGATTCCTAGGTATTTTATTCTCTTTGAAGCAATTGTGAATGGGAGTTCACTCATGATTTGGCTCTCTGTTGGTCTGCTATTGGTGTATAAGAATGCTTGTGATTTTCGCACATTGATTTTATATCCTGAGACTGCTGAATTTGCTTATCAGCTTAAGGAGATTTTGGCCTGAGACGATGGGGTTTTCTAAATATACAATCATGTTGTCTGCAAACAGGGACAATTTGACTTCCTCTTTTCCTAATTGAATACCCTTTATTTCTTTCTCCTGCCTGATTGCCCTGGCCAGAACTTCCAACACTATGTTGAATAGGAGTGGTGAGAGAGGGCATCCCTGTCTTGTGCCAGTTTTCAAAGGGAGTAGGTCCAGTTTTTGGCCATTCAGTATGATATTGGCTCTGGGTTTGCCATAAATAGCTCTTATTATTTTGAGAGACGTCCCACCAATACCTAATTTATTGAGCGTTTTTAGCATGAAGTGTTGTTGAATTTTGTCAAAGGCCTTTTCTGCATCTATTGAGATAATCATGTGGTTTTTGTCTTTGGTTCTGTTTATATGCTGGATTAAGTTTATTGATTTGCATATGTTGAACCAGCCTTGCATCCCAGGGATGAAGCCCACTTGATAATGGTTGATAAGCTTTTTGATGTGCTGCTGGATTTGGTTTGCCAGTATTTTATTGAGGATTTTTGCATCGATGTTCATTAGGGATATTGGTCTCAAATTCTCTTTTTTTGTTGTGTCTCTGCCAGGCTTTGGTATCCGGATGATGCTGGCCTCATAAAATGAGTTAGGGAGGATTCCCTCTTTTTCTAGTGATTGGAATAGTTTCAGAAGGAATGGTGCCAGCTCCTCCTTGTACCTCTGGTAGAATTTGGGTGTGAATCTGTCTGGTCCTGGACTTTTTTTGGTTGGTAGGCTGTTAATTATTGCCTCAATTTCAGAGCCTGTTATTGGTCTGTTCAGGGATTCAACTTCTTCCTGGTTTAGTCTTGGGAGAGTGTATGTGTCCAGGAATTTATCCATTTTTTCTAGATTTTCTAGTTGGTTTGCATAGAGGTGTTTATAGTATTCTCTAATAGTAGTTTGTATATCTGTGGGATTGGTGGTTATATCCCCTTTAGCATCTTTTATTGCATCCATTTGATTCTTCTCTCTTTTCTTCTTTATTAGTCTGGCTAGGAGACTATCAATTTTGTTGATCTTTTCAAAAAACCAGCTCCTGGATTCATTGATTTTTTTGAAGGGCTTTTTGTGTCTCTATCTCCTTCAGTTGTGCTCTGATCTTAGTTATTTCTTGCCTTCTGTTAGCTTTTGAATGTGTTTACTCTTGCTTCTCTAGTTGCTTTAATTGTGATGTTAGGGTGTCAATTTTAGATCTTTCCTGCTTTCTCTTGTGGGCATTTAGTGCTATAAGTTTCCCTCTACACACTGCTTTAAATGTGTCCCAGAGATTCTGATATGTTGAGTCTTTGTTCTCATTGGTTTCAAAGAACATCTTTATTTCTGCCTTCATTTTGTTATGTACCCAGTAGTCATTCAGGAGCAGGTTGTTCAGTTTCCATGTAGCTGAGCAGTTTTGAGTGAGTTTCTTAATCCTGAGTTCTAGTTTTATTGCACTGTGATCTGAGAGATAGTTTGTTAAAGCTTCTATTCTTTTACATTTGCTGAGGAGTGCTTTACTTCCAACTAGGCTTCAGAAGATCAAACTTCTCCGAGCTAAAGGAGGAAGTTCGAACCCTTTGAAAAGAAGATAAAAACCTTGAAAAAAGATTAGACAAATGGCTAACTGGAATAACCACTGTAGAGAAGTCCTTAAATTACCTGATGGAGCTGAAAAACATGGCACGAGAACTACGTGATGAATGCACAAGCTTCAGTAGCCGATTCCATCAACTGGAAGAAAGGGTATCAGTGATTGAAGATCAAGTGAATGAAATGAAGTGAGAAGACAAGTTTAGAGAAAAAAGAGTAAAAAGAAATGAACAAAGCCTCCAAGAAATATGGAACTATGTGAAAAGACCAAATCTACATCTGATTGTTGTACCTGAAAGTGATGGGGAGAATGGAACCAAGTTGGAAAACTCTCTGCAGGATATTATACAGGAAAACTTCCCCAGCCTAGAAAGGCAGGCCAACATTCAAGTTCAGGAAATACAGAGATGCCACAAAGATACTCCTCGAGAAGAGCAACTCCAATACACATAATGGTCAGATTCACCAAAGTTGAAATGAAGGAAAAAATGTTAAGGGCAGCCAGAGAGAAAGGTCGGGTTACCCACAAAGGGAAGCCCATCAGACTAACAGCTGATCTCTTGCTAGAAACTCTACAAGCCAGAAGAGAGTGGGATCCAATATTCAACATTCTTAAAGAAAAAATAATTTTCCACCCAGAATTTCATATCCAGCCAAACTAAGCTTCATAAGTGAAGGAGAAATAAAATCCTTTACAGACAAGCAAATGCTGAGAGATTTTGTCACCACCGCTCCTGCCCTAAAAGAGCTCCTGAAGGAAGCACTAAACATGGAAAGGAACAACCGGTACCAGCTACTGCAAAAACATGCTAAATTGTAAAGACCATCAAGGCTAGGAAGAAACTGCCTCAGCTAATGAGCAAAATAATCCGCTAACATCATAATGACAGGATCAAATTCACACATAACAATAAATTAACCTTAAATGTAAATGGGCTAAATGCTCCAATTAAAAGACAGACTGGCAATTGGATAAAGAGTCAAGACCCATCAGTGTGCTGTATTCAGGAGACCCATCTCATGTGCAGAGACACACATAGGCTCAAAATAAAGGGATGGAGGAAGATCTGCCAAGCAAACGGAAAACAAAAAAAGGCAGGGGTTGCAATCCTAGTCTTGGATAAAACAGACTTTAAACCGACAAAGGTCAAAAGAGACAAAGAAGGCCATTACATAATGGTAAAGGGATCAATTCCACAAGAAGAGCTAACTATCCTAAATATATATGCACCCAATACAGGAGCACCCAGATTCATAAAGCAAGTACTTAGTGACCGACAAAGAGACTTAGACTCCCACACAATAATAATGGGAGACTTTAACATCCCACTGTCAACATTAGACAGATCCACGAGACAGAAAGTTAGCGAGGATATCCAGGAATTGAAGTCAGCTCTGCACCAAGCAGACCTAATAGACATCTACAGAACTCTCCACCCCAAATCAACAGAATATACATTCTTCTCAGCACCACATCACACTTATTCCAAAACTGACTACATATTTGGAAGTAAAGCACTCCTAAATTCTTGTTCTATCTCATGAGAGTTTGGTCACCTTTGAAATTTGAACAAACTACAAAATTTCTTTGAATCTCAGGGATTTATCCTTTTGGAAATTTATGCCCAGTTTGTAGACTTCATTAGAGGGATAAAAACAAATGTCTGCAACGTATCTGGTATAGTTGGTGCTCAGTAATTTTATTGAAGACTACCTATTTTTTGCAAATAAAAGTTAAAATAAAATTCTATTACTAAATCAACTCCCTATACCCTAACACCTATGGTCCTAAGTCCAACATATACACTTTTACAACAGTTCACGCCATAGACAGGAAATGGATATCCTGGGGTAGATTTTTTTTTTCCTTCAAAATACTAGTCTTTTTCAGCTCCTCGTACAGCTTTGTTGATGCCTATATCCCTTGTTTTGGTTACTGACCCTGGGTCTCCTTGCCTGGGCACCTGATTTCTGTAGCTTCTGTTCATTCACATTCATTTCAGATGCTCTTATAATTTCTAGTTCCTAATCTTAATCTAGCTTCAACATTGCCCTGCTTGCAAATTTACTACCTTTTAAAATGACTTGAATCTTCTCTATTTTCACAGTTCTTGTCTATTTTTTCCCTGTAACAGTTTGTATGAACACTAATGTGGTGTTCAACCCTCCCTTTCAATTTTAGAGAATTGGATTCTATATTGGAACGTCACTTAAATTTTTGAGTCCTCAAAACCAACCTTGTTGAAATGGTTAATAACTTTGTGAAGCATGTTGTGACTAGAGAATAGTGCTTTAAAAGCTATAAGGATTAGTGTTGTTATGAATTTGACATGCATTAACATGACCATTGTTAATGGACAGCTTGGTACTTAATCTCCCAGGTTGGTTAATTTATTTAGACTTTTGCCTACTTACTTTAGAAATGGATGTCTAGCCATCTGCTAGGCAATTACAGCTTAGCTGCATTGACATCTGCTTTCCTTCATTCTTATAGACGACTGGGTGCTTGAAAAGGCAAATATATAAATAACTTCTCCAAAATAAACAGTACTCTAAAATATAATACAATTAATTACATTTGTGCTTAAAGATGCCCACTAATTTTTATATGGATACTTAAAGAAATTGCAAGTAATTATAATAGAAATGAACAATGATTTATAGATTATATCATAATGTCATTTATTTTTAGTGACAGTTCTGTGAATTATAGCAGAGATCATCATCTTCCATAAGGAGATATTAAGGATCCAATACATTAAATAAGAGGCCCACATTTATACAGTTTGGGGTTCTAGATTATAAATAGATATTTCTATAATTATCAGGCCCCTGCAGCAATGCAATAGAATGGCAGGGAGGAGGAGGAGGAATAATCAAACCACTTTGCTTTTACCACAGAAAGACAGTCAGACATTAAAATGAATTAAAGTCAATTCATGTTTTTATTTAGCTCAGGAAAAGCATTCATTTAAATGACTTTTGCAAAAATCTTTTTATTATGGTTATTTGCTCAGAGTTTAAAATAAACAGAAACCTCTCAAAGAACAAACATTACTTATTTAATAGTGTAACTTTACCCGTACTGGGGAACATAATTTATTAATAGATAACATTGGTTCTGAGTGATTCAGCAAAACCACGATGGATGCCACTTGAAGTCACAACAATTAAAGAAGCTTAACAGAATGGCCTCAGTTTCTATGGTGACAGTTACAGAACTATTCAGGGATAGCATGAAACACATAAAATATTGTGTTCTTTTCAGAAAATGATCTGTGACAGATTTATTTAAAAATAGAAAATAGAAAAAATTATACTCAAACTTATTTCACTCAATAACATCTGTATTTAGGAGTTAGAATTTAATATAAATACATTCAGTATGGAGATTTGCCTCAGAGATTCACATGGAATTAAAACCAAAAAGTTTATCACCAGATTTCCTACATTTCACTGTTTATAAAAGACAAGTAGGTTTTATTGTCTTAGAATTGATTTGTCCTCATAAACTAGGTGTGATTTCAATTTTTTCAGATATTTATGGAGTCTTCAGGTTAACATTGAATGAATGTATTGTTTATTTTAGTTAAACACCTCTCAGTTTAATCAACTATGATTCATTCAATCAATATTTTCCTTTAAATAGATTGAAGGTAACTAAAGAAACCTTAAAGAAAATAAAAGTCATCGGCCAGGCACAGTGGCTCACGCCTGTAATTCCAGCACTTTGGGAGGCCAAGGTGGGAGGATCATGAGGTCAAGAGATCAAGACCATCCTGGCCAACATGGTGAAACCCCGTCTCTACTAAAAATACAAAAATTAGCTGGGTGTGGTGGCTCATGCCTGTTGTTTCAGCTACTCAGGAGTGCTGAGGCAGGAGAATCGCTTGAACCCAGGAGGCGGAGGTTGCAGTGAACCGAGATTGTGCCTCTGCACTCCAGCCTGGCGATAGAGCGAGACTACAAAAAAAAAAAAAAAAAAAAAAGAAAGAGAAAGAAATAAAGGAAATAATAGTCATCAAATACATAGAAGGAAAGAGAGACCAAGATAAATCATTATTTATTTGTTATGATTTCTAAGGTAACAATGTTGAAATGCTAATAATCAAAGTAACATTACAAAGTTATATTTTATTAAACAACAAACTTTTAACAACAGTACTAGTCATCCACATTTTGCATGGTACCTTGTTAACTGAAAACCAGGCATATTGGAACCATGTCCTTGCTTTGATTTAATTTTAGTTACACAGAACCATGCAAAATGAGAACATAGTTCTGATACATATGAGTTTCAGTTAACATGGTACTATACAAAAAGAAGCCTGTTTGTATTTACCTGTTAGATAATTCCTATATTATGCTATGAAGACAAAGCAAGCCAGAACCATTCATCAGTATTAATATATATGGGGTGTATGGAGAGTATTTTGTTCTTTTTTTGTTATTACATCCTCCTCATAACTAAGAATAAAAACACATGTTTACAATATATTTTAGCTACAGAATTTTTATAGTACATCTTAAACAATTTACTTTTACAAACTATTTAAACTTGTTGTTTTTAACCTTGCCAGATTCCACAAAAGAGAAGAAGTAGCTCAATGCAAACATATGTAACGTGATAATAACCTAGAAATTGAATAAAGAATATCAATATAAAGCCAAAGAAGTACACTAATTACTGTATTTGTTATGCTTCACTAACGTTGCATAACAAACAGCTACACATCTCAATGGTCACTGGTCTTTGGAATAACTGTGGTTCTGTTTTGCTTGTCTGGATTAAGCTAAAGAGATGTAACTTGGCTTTATCTAAAGGTGGGATTCAGGTCTAGTATACCTGTCTCCTAAATCTGGCATCAGCAGCTATTCAGGGAAGGTTCTTCTCATGAGGGAGTGCAGGAGGACAAGAGGGTGAGATGGAATCATGAACAGTCTCTTTTTTTTTTTTTTGAGATGGAGTTTCGCTCTTTTTGCCCAGGCTGGAGTGCAAGTTTTGATATACTTGCTATAATTGAGCCTTAATGTTTATTTTGGTTCTAGTAATCCCCACTTATCCATGGGGGATAAATTCCAAGATCCCCAGTGGATGCCTGAAACCATTGTTCATATCAAATCCTATGTATGCTATGTTTTTGCCTATACATACATACATAGATACTTATGATAAAATGTAATGTGTAAATTAGGCACAGTTGGAGATTGACAACAATAATGAATAATTAAATAGAACAATAATAACAATTTACTGTAATAAAAGTTATGTGAATATAGTCTCTCCCTCTCTTTCAAAATATCTTATTGTTTGTAATATTTTCAGACTGTGATCGACTGTGCAGTCTGAAACTGTGATTGACTGCGCAGAACTGAAACTGCAGAAAGCAAAACAAAAGATAAGTGTAGACTACTGTATAATGACATTAAAAATAAGCTGAAACACTGACATTTACATAGTTCTTATTATGTTCAGAATATTAACATTTTGATAAAGTTTAAGTTGAGAGTATCCTCATGAAATCTGATACATACAATAGACTTGAAGTATAAGTTACAAAGTCTTAACTGCCTCATTGTAAATTATAATGGCATGATTATTCCATCAACAATTGTTTGGTTTAATATTATTTCAGTGAAGACAGGTGCCATGCATTTTAGATGATAAAAATTCTAAGTCTTGTCTGTGTTTTCCCTGAAATGAATCAAGGGATTAATGTTTTCCATGCCTCATATTCTTTAAGTCTTCATATTCACATCACAAAAAGAATTAAATAGAAAAGAAATTCTTTATATGTGTTTTAAATACTTACAAGTCTTATATTGTTTTAGAGGTTACAGGTATTATAGAGAAGTGCCACTTAACAATTTAAATAGAGGCAGAAATGAAGACAAAGATTAAAATTAGGCATCATTTTCTCATAAAACGTGAACAGACTTTTTAAAACTCCACTTATAAGTTTTAAAAAATCTCTCTGCAATTGATGAGTTGATTATGTAATAAATATTGAAGCCCTAATTAATTATTTGGAAATCTTTATCAATAAATAAGCCCTATGTTTCTAAAAATAGTTATGAAATATATATGTGTGTGTATATGTATGTGTATATGTGTGTGTGTGTGTGTGCATATGTGTGTGTTTGTGTGTATTTGTATGTGACATTTTAAGGCTTTATTACCATATGGCTGAATCGATGCCCTAATTTCAAATTGTTAATTTGGTACTGTCTTTTAAGTGCCTACTATATGCAAGGTACATATACCAAATGTATGTCTTCCAAATTCCCTTGTTAAAAATCACCTGCCTCTTACTCAGGAACTACCAAGAGATCTATTTCATGTCTCTATATATGAAATGCTGCCCTTACCAATGCTGAAGTGTCTCCCATTTTCTGCCTATTTAAATTTCTTTGATTTCTTAGCAAAAACTGTGCATGTGTAATGAAATTTGGGACACTAGTTAATGGTGCTTGAATTAAACTCTTCATTTTTCTTTATAAGCTTCTCTTGGTTTCTGGACATGCCTTGTGATTAATATCAATATATATGAATTACTCAATGGTTTTGTTTTTATTTTTTTCACACTATCTATTTGCCTGAGCTTGTATGTCTTCATAACCAGTTATGACCAAACCTGTTGTTCAACCCTGGTTCATAACAATCTAACCAAAATGGTATCATAACTCCAGGAGCAGAAGAATTTTTGTCAGATCTTAATGACAATTATAAGCAAGGAAAAGGATAAATGAAATTACATGATTTCTCATGTTCCATCATAGCTTGAGCTTTTAGGGCACCCTCTAAAAGAACTATTTGGACTATTTTGCTATGACCAAGCCATCAGTTGTTTCTCCTTTGGGGTTAATTCAGAAAGCAGCTAGGAATAAGTTTATTTCATGGAAAAACACAAACATGGAGGGACCAAATTAGTCATTTATGGGGACAATTAGATTTTAAAATTGCAATTTTATACACTACATAAAATCAAAGAAGAGAAATTTAAAAGTACTGCATCTAATGTTCCTTTCTTATTAATGGTGTTTTCTGTTCCAGTCACCATTTTGGCTTTCTTCAGAGTTTGTAATCAATAAAGACCCTGGCGTTTGAAGGGCATATTATTCTTTTTCCCTTTTTTTCATGCTAGAAACATCATCTCTATGAGTTCATCATGTACTCGATTAATTCTCAACAGCTGCTCTTTAATATTATTTTGAAGCCCCAGATAGTTGATCTGTGTTTTGAATTACCCACAGTGTTCTAAAATGGGCATCTATATGTGATTTTTATAATCAGGAAAAAATAAGAGTGAGAAAAGGTCATCATACTTGATCCACATTTTTTTTTTTTAGACAGTTTTGCCCTATCACCCACGCTGGAGTGTAGTGGTACAATCACAGCTCACTGCAACTTCCATCTCCCAGGATCAAGTGACTCTGGTGCCTCAGCCCCCTGAGTAGCTGGAATTACACACGTGTGCCACCACGCCCAGCTAATTTTTCTATTTTAACAGAGTTTGGATCTCACTATGTTGGCCAGGCTTTTTTTGAACTCCTGGCTTCAAGTGATCTACCCGCCAACTCCTCCTAAAGTGCTAGGATTACCGGCGAGAACCACTGCTCCCGGCCCACATCTTTTGTTTAAATCATATTTATATCATTTTACCTGGAAATAGCATTACAGCATAGACTTGGAAGAGAAGCAGCCAAGAAAACAAACAAGCAAGAAAACAAACAAACAAATAAATTAATATTTTTATTATAAAGTTTGAAGACCTATTCTGGTGGCAATGTGCTATGTGATTTCGAAATTATGCCCAATATAGGAAATTAACAGTAGCCCTGCATTGCTTCAGAGTTTTATTATTTTTCTAAGTAAAATATATATGATGATAATAATTGGGAAACAAAGGAAAATAAAATAAAATTCTGACTAAAAACAAACAAAAAATAAGATTGTTTCTGAAGGAGAATATGGCTCTATATATTCTATATAAAGAATATATAGAGCAAACAAGTATAGTCTAACTTAATGAAGTGTTTTCACTCTTGTCATTTTAATTGGAAAAAATTTATTCTAGAAAGTAATATAGAAAGATAATAAAATGACATATCGATGAGGAATTTATCCCTTTGTACCTTTGCTGACCTTCATTACAGATTCATTTTTAAATCATTTTGTTATTGATGGTAATAAATATATTTGATATTCACAGGAATTTCACTTGAAAAAGATAAAAGATTTCATAGTAGTAATAGAATGTTGGCTAAGTAGCTAATTATTGCATACTTAAATTTCCGGTCTTTAAAGTGACAAAAATTCTAGATCTTGCAATTAACGATATTAATATGTGTTGACATAAAATGAGACTGTGTTGATCTAGGGGTGATAAACACTGCCATTTTTGGAGGATTATGTTTTAGCAAGTAAATTGTGTCCTTTGACTTAATAATAATTGCTTCTCGTTTGTCTCCACTCTTTTCGTTTTGCTTCGACTGTCCACAACAACCAGCTTTGTCCTCTAGAAGCATTTTAATTTTATCTATGACAGTTCAACTGTTACTCTCTATGCTCACAGTGGGAAAATGTCAGTGGAAAAATATCAGTATAAATATGATTTTTGTAAGATGCAAACATTTTGAAAATATAATCTATATGCCCACTTGTCATGTGTTTCTAAGCTGTACTATGTTGTTGTGGAAAACATTGGAAATTTATTTTTTAAAGTCGCCTAGCAGATGAAGGAAACACAATTAAGATGATCTTTTCCTAAATATACTTTGGCCCTTTATATGTAGACTGCAGTTATATTTTTATGTATTGTATACCTTGTTAATTATCCAAAATTATTTTTTTAAACTTGATGTTAAATTGCTTTATAGAAATAAATTTATCATCTTTTATCAACGGTTAGCTGTCATAATTGCTGATAGGACTAATGTAATAATTACATTTTTATCTTAAAGAATTCTGTAGGTTTGTTTGAACAATCCAGACACAAAACTCTACCATATATATCAATCAAATATTTTACAACATATAAAATTATAGAGCAAAATATGACATTTTAAAAGCTGAACATTAGTAATTTTAGATTTTCTGAATACATCAATTCTCACACTGCTATCAAGAACTACCTGAGACTGGGTAATTTATAAAGAAAAGAGGTTTAGTTGACTCACAGTTTCATAGGCTGTACAGGAATCATGGCTAGGGAGACCTCAGGAAACTTACCAGCATGGAGGAAGTGTGAAGGGGAAGCAAGCAGGTCTTCATGTGGCAGCAGGAGAGAGAGAAAGAGAGCACAAGGGGAAGTGCAACACCCTTTTAAACAATCAGATCTCTTGAGAATTCACTAACTGTGAGGAGAAGAACAAAGAGGAAATCTGTCCCCATGATCCAATCACCTCCCACCAGGTCCTTCCCTTAACATTGGGGATTTCAATTCAACATGAGATTTGTGTGGGTGCACAGAGCCAAACTATATCACTAAAAGTTTGTGTTCTCTAAGTAGCACAGCAAATTGTACATAAGAGGATCTAAGCAAATATTCTGCTACTATTGTCAGAAGCGGTGGACAATGCCTCAGGTGGATGTTGAGGGTGGCAAGATGACAGACTATAGAAATAAATTACTTCACTGGGAAAAACACCACTTTTTCTCAAGGAAAAAAAACAAGATCGAAGAAGAGAAAATGCATAAAAGCATTTGAGAAAAAATATACATATATGTATATATCTTGGATATTTATTTTTAATTAAGCTGACTTTTAAACACAGAGCTCTTTTAAAAATAATCCTTTTAAATCTCTTTATACCAGACAGACTATAGCCAGAACAAATAGCTGAAACTTCTGGCTTTTAAGCCATTTTTTTTTCTTTCCTCAAAGGTGTTTTCTCAAGTGAAACCAATAAGCATCACTAAGGTTTTCTGACTTAACCACAGATGCACAAGATGACTTCGGAGAGATGCCAAGCATCTAGAATCACCGCTAAGGTAGCTCAGAGAAAAGAAAATTCACGTCAGAAAATCAGAAACTGTACATGGAGGGAAAAAGAATAAATAAATGCAAAAGTCCTACAAGTGTCAAACCAGAAAAAACTGAGTCCCTAAGCCAGGAATTGAACCCTAGCCATCATTATGAAAGAGCAAATCTTTAGCTACTGAGCTGCAGTATGAGATGAGTGTTATATTGTTTTTTCCCAGAAGAAGGCTAGAACAGTCATTTTTGAGCTTGCAAAGGGTACACCTTTACAAGGGAAAAGAAACTGATGTAAAGCTGAGACGTCTTAAAACAGATTTTAGAATTAAAAGTCAGTATTTCTTGTGGTCTTACTATAAGCGAACCAATACTTAAATAAGAAAACTTGTTTTAACACAGGGGACCAAAATTTAGAAAGATTATTATTTTTTCTTTTTTTAATTATACTTTAAGTTTTAGGGTACATGTGCACAACGTGCAGGTTAGTTACATATGTATACGTGTGCCATGTTGGTGTGCTGCACCCATCAGCTCGTCATTTAACATTAGGTATATCTCCTAATGCTATCCCTCCCCACTCCCTCAACCCCATAACAGGCCCCAGTGTGTGATGTTCCCTTTCCTGTGTCCATGTGTTCTCATTGTTCAATTCCCACCTATGAGTGAGAACATGCGGTTTTTGGTTTTTTCTCCTTGCGATAGTTTGCTGAGAAGGATGGTTTCCAGCTTCATCCATGTCCCTACAAAGGACATGAACTCATCATTTTTTATGGCTGCATAGTATTCCATGGTGTATTATAAATAAATTTTATTTCAGTTATGGCTAATTTAATTATATATAATTTTTAAAATAAGCTCCCTTTTTATAAACCTTATCATGACTTACATAGATCATCTATGACATGCTTAGACTTTTTGACTTATCGTATACTTTTTTCTTTCCTAAAAAGTCATTCTACTTTAGGACAAGAATTTACCACACATGATCCTTTCTCATATAACATTTATTTCCTTTTACCTTTATCACCAAAAATACATAATTGTATTCATAACCTTTGCATTTTTCTTTCCTACTGATTTTTTATCTTTTTCACTTATTTCTGATTTCTTCTTAAATCGATATTTTAAGACCCACTTTTAAGTAATGTCCAATTGGCCAATTTTTTTTCAATAAGATCATATCTTCTTTGGCATATTTCATATACAGAATTATATACAAATTTTTATTAATCCTAAATTTCCATGAACTTATCACATGAACTTGAAAAATGCTTGGACTTAACTTATGAATGGTCTTTTATTTATAAGCCTGTTTGGCACTCTGTAGACACAATATATAACATAATGAAATGTACATACACATAAACACATCTAGATATGTATACACACACATAAACAAAGATCCAATAGCTTTTATCTTAGGACTCTAGCCATGAAATAATAACACAAATTCACTGTTTTATAAATGATAGCTGGATCCAAATTCTCTCTCTAAAAAACTGGGACTTTTCCACATGGCTAAGCTTGATTTCTAATTTGAATTTTTCTGATTGCCTAAAAGACTGCCTAGTGACTAGTTCTTCGGGACTGGCCATTGTCTCCATGTCTAATAAGGATCTATTAGACAAAAGTTTTTCTAAGTCTAGCAAGAGCTCAGTTATTTTCCTCTCAAATTCTCACCTCATATAGCAAAGTGTAAAATAAAGTGACAATAAGAAAAATGGTAAAAATGTGTAAATTTGTAGAAATGCTATTACAGAAAATGATGACTTTAGGATAGAAAACAAGAAAAGGGAAAACCATGATGTCCTTAGGGTGGACTCTAACTCACAATCCTAGAGAGAATGCCAATTCCAAACATTGCAGAGCATCCAGGGGCAGCCAGTGGTATTAAATGCCAAAAAACCCAGAGTATCCAAATATCAACTAACAAGGGTCCCTGCACCAAATGCCAAAAACTGAAACATCTTTGGGTTGCCAATAGTGAACCCCAAAGACACTAGGCCTAAAACAACTGGGGCCACAGAACAACATGATTTTGGCATTGCAAGGTCAACACAACAGGAGACATCTCACAACCAAGTGTCCTGCCTTAAACCATTGCCCAAATAGGTAAAGCAAAGACTACAAACACGATAATGAAATAAACATAAGCATGCATTTTGGCACTAAGAACAGAAAAGTAAAATTGCCAGTTATTAGAAATGAACGAGAAAAGGTCTGAGAGAAGGGGCAACAGATGGGCTACAAAGGACTTGGCTGGCCAGACGTGCTCCCATCTGGGGCACCCAGACAATGGCAGACTGCAACTGGGCTTCAAAGCCAGAAGCCTTACGGCCACTTCCCCATCTGTCCAAAATAAAGAATGTAGGGAAAGACAGAGGAACCAAAATCAAAGCGGGGCAGGGAAAAGACAGTAAGTTGAATCTAGACTATGGGAGACCCACCCACCAATTAGGTCTAAGTGATGCTGATTGATCTTAATTTGGGGTCTTGGGGGATGTCTCCATTGTCACTTCATCAGTCATCAGAAAAGATGTCACAGAGTGAGCCCTGAGGGCTGCTGCTGATTGGCTACTTTTATGGTTTTTTTGATCATGTGCTAAACAAGGCGTGGATTATTCATGAGTTTTGGAAACGGACAGGGCATTTTTGAAACTGAGAGTTCATCTTTCTTTCAGACCATACAGAGTAACTTCTGGATGTTGCCATGGTATTTGTAAACTGCCTTGGCACTGATGGGAGTTTCCTTTAGTATGATAGTATATTATAATTTGCATATAATGAGCAGTGAGGACAACCAGAGGTTGCTTTTTTTGCCATCTTGGTTTTGGCAGATTTTCGCCAACTTCTTTACCGCATCCTGTTTTATCAGTATGGTCTTGTAAAACAATCCTGCTGAATTCCTAATTCACTCCCATTAAAGTCTCTTAGTCTTATTTAACCGTTTGGGTAAAATTTCTCCCCCTCTCTCCTTCCACAGTACTTTGATCTTATCTCTGTAATACACTTACAACTTTGTCTTGCGATTCTATTTGCATGTCTGTTTAGGGACAAAGGGATGTTTTATTCAACTTCTACCCTCTGTACCTTCCTCAGACCTAGCACATGTTGTTGCTCAGAAAATGTTGAATTAGTGTATGAGCACAAGAAGCAGAGTTTTAAATATTCTAGTCCTCTATGTAGGTTATCTGTATATTGAAGGAAATTTTTCCCAAAGGGATAACATTAAGTAAAGCCAATGATTATTAAAATTTTTTTTCAGAATTTTCATCTAGTTAATTTTCTTATAATCAGAAAAAAATGCAGTTCAGAAAATATTTTTTCATGTCATGAGCAAAATTCTAGTAAAGAACCAGAAGTAAAATATAAAATATGCATATGTTTCTTGTTTGTGTTTTTGAAACTGAAGAACTCTTGTGGTTGGCTTGTATTTCAACTCACATTTTTTAATTCATCCAAATAAATGTTTTTCAGCATTTAAATATTAACTTTAGGCCGGGCATGGTGGCTCACGCCTGTAATCCTAGTGCTTTGAGAGGCCAAGGCAGGTGGATTGCCTGAGCTCAGGAGTTCGAGACCAGCCTAGGCAACATGATGAAACCCTGTCTCTACTAAAAAATACAAAAAATTAGCCAGGCATGGTAGTGTGTGCCTGTAGTCCCAGCTATTCAGGAGGCTGAGTCAGGAGAATGGCTTGAACCTGGGAGGCGGAGGTCACATTGAGCCAAAATTGTGCCATTGCACTCCAACCTGGATGACAGAGTGAGACTCCGTGTCCAAAAAAAAAAAAAATAAATAAATAACTTTCAAAAATAACAAGAATTGTTAAACATTGTTAAACTAAATAATAGGTTCTATGCTACATTCTATATTTCACTCACATTGCTTTTCATTTTGGACATCAGGTATTCTTTTTAAGCTTGTATGCCAATAATTTGGTTCTGTTCCTAAAAAATAAATGAATAGATTTGGTTGACGCACTCTCGTTTCAGTTCTCTTGTCTCAAATAAAATCTTTAACTAGTTATTGCATACGTTTACTATCTTTTATTCAAAATTTTGACAACTAACAAGGAAAACTGAAGAATTAAATGAAGCATAAAGGAATGTGGTTTTGTACACAGAAATAAAATCCAAGCATGAAAGAACACACTAGTTTTGTTCTTAACACTGATTGCTATTTGCTAAAACAGCAGTGATTACTTCTTTCCTGCATCCGCAATAAAGTCATAATGGCTCAGAACAAAGCTTAAAAAAAAATAGACATGTTGAAAGTTGTGCCATTATTCCTTACTGCCCTTCCTTTGTCCCTGAAAAATGCAAAAAAAAAAACAATAAGAGGCTTGTAAGAGAGAAAGGAGAAAATAATAAAGAATGATAGAGGACTTTATACCGTCTAAACATTATTTGAAAAAAACATACAACTATTAAATTTCAAACTGTGACAGTTAATCTCTGTGATTTTTATAGTTTATTTTTCTTACATGAAAAATTGCTACATTCTTTCTGGACAAGAGAAATTGAGATAGAGATAGAAATATATATATATGTATCATATATAGAGGTAGAAAAAGACAAAAATACAATCATTTCATACATTTTATAGTCTATAATGGTCAATTTAAGCTATACAGCAGTTATTCAGTATGGAATATTGGAGAGAAAGAGATAAAGGTATGATTTTATGTATATCCATTACCATTCTTTTTTAATCAAGGTAGGACTGTTCCTCATCTGGCCACTTCTCTTCAGGGCCTCTAAATTGTGAATGCCAGGAGCAAATGTAAAGGCTAATTTCGATGATTACTTTGAATTCTTTTTTAGTTGTGCTAGCTTTCATTTCTACAGAAAATCTGCTTTTAAAAGATGATTTCCATTTTCTAACAAACATTTGACAACTCAGTGAGAAGATTCAATTTTATTTTATATAGATATTTTATATTTTATATGGATATAATATTAGTAAGCATGAACATAAAAGAACTCTGAAAATGAAGAATTTTCATAAATGTAACCGATAATGTAGTGTGCTTATATAGAAATACCTTAGGGCTGAAATGTTAATTCATGTGTGAATCTGGTTTCATTGTGTGGTTTTAGGTTAAATATATTTAATTGTTTATCTTTTGGTTGGATGACTGGGAAAGTAATGGATGCACAAGAATTTTTAGGATTTTGGAAAAATTGTACTGAAAATTGCCTCTCAGAAAAGCAGTTACGTTGGGTATACAGTGAGTATAAGAATGAAGTTGTTCATAAAATCTAATAAAGGAGGAATAAAATTTGGTTAGTTTGGTCTATTTATCTATACATTCATTTATCTCACCTTGAATGTCCTTCAACAATCTGGTTTATTAAAATTAAAGTTGTCCTTTTTCTGGATTTTTTTTCATTTAGACCTCACAGACTTGTTCAGTTTGTTTCTAGATGAAACAAACTTGTTATCTTGCTCACATGAGGTTTCTTCCCCGCTACATTTGGAATCATTTAAATTTTTCTCTACATAGGAATCCTCCAATCTTTCTCAGCGTTATAGCATTTGGGCCTAACCTCCCTCAAGAAAGGAGCAAACTCTAAGTGATTCCATATGTCCTCCTATTGAAAATCATTAATTCCGAGCTTTAGTATAGTGATGAGACATTTAGGGAACATTTGGGTATTGCTGTCAAGTAATTTTATTGCCTCCTTCATGAATTAGTTCCACTACAGTATCAGATGTAATGGAGACTGTTGAAGTTTCATTACTGGTAACCGGGTGATCTAGCTTAATTATAGTATAATTAATATCTTTTTTATTTAAAACATAATGCTGATTTTAACATAATTAAGCACTTAAGCTCATTGACAATAGAAATAACTTTATCTTAAAGGTTGATTGTCTTATCTCAAATACTATAACTAAATTTGGGGTATCTGATTTCTTGACATTTGCTAAACAACCTTACTAAAATAGGATTAGCATATATTGTTTTAATATATTTCTTTTTTAGGAAACTTTGAATTTTAAGATATTTTGTTAAGCTAATATGTGTGTGTAAATAAATAAATCACACACACCCATTTAATAAATTAAAAGATTCAGTCTCAGGTGGAAATCGCAATCATAGAAGAGTTTGGGAATTAATACGTTTTTGCTATTGTGTATTTTCACATATGTGTGTCAATGAGTATGTGGATGTGTTTGTGTGCAAAAAGAGCGTTTTTTATAGCATAAAGTAGGTAATTGTTTCATTTAATATCTAAGCAGAAGGCCAAGTTTTACTTCACACTTCCTTTTTAGAAGGTTTAGACATATGAAGTGCAAGGATTCTTCTGTTAAAGAATAATATTCCAGGAGACTTTGTCTACAGCACCTGGGAAGTGTAATAAAAAACAAAGAATAATAAGAGTGATGCATTGTTCCATATCCTATAAAAGAACTTTCTGAAATTTGCTAAGTCGTTTGCCATCTACATGTAAGAATAAGACAGTTATACTGATTAAAACAAGGAATTGAGTCATATTTTCTACCACTACAATTGCAATCATTTTTTTTATAACTATGTGAAATGCAATTTCCTTAAGCCAAGTACCATCTTTAACCTGAAAGTGTAAACCCTTGACTTAGAACAATTTTAGAGATTAACCTTTTCATTCTGCCTTCTTCCTGTCAGCTGATTTCTGGATCATTGTGCTTGAACGTTATTATCACAATTATTTCCTGATTTTTTCCCCTCATTTATTAGTTCCAGTTGCATCCTGAATTACAGCAGAATGATGGTTAGATGTATATTGGGTTTACTCATGTCACCTTCACTGCTCATAGCTGGGTGGGCTAGCACATTGATTAGCATACTTGAATATTTAAAACGTGCTTTATAGAACTAAATATTTGGGTTATGAATATTAACATATTCAATGAATATAGAAACAATTTTATCTAACCAATTGTTTTGCTATCTCAAAAATCATAACTAAATTTTTATGGGACATAGTGATTAAATCTGTGTCTAAAAGCAATTAATGCCCTATATCTGTAGTAATGTCAGATTTTCATGGTTTATTAATCTCACAGTGTGCTAGAACTTTAACATTTCTCCTTAGATGTGCTCATTCACATTGGAACATAAGATATGATATTGAAAGAATTCTTAAAGGACAAATGCAGGCAAAAATAAATGAAATGGAATAAATATATCCTATAATATGCAGAAAAATATTCCATTACCAATAACGTCATGCATTTTAAAACTCTATTCTTTTAGGTATTTATTGCTTTTTAACCTTCGCTGAAATGAGACTGAGATCAATAAAGGTATTAAATGGTTTCTAAATAGCCAAAATACGCAAGTATTTTTGTTTTCTAAGGTGAATTCTTTAGTGAACTTTTTGAAATGTAATAATTGGCATTGTCTTTCAAGTTACCATTACAAAAACAAGTGAGAATTAAAGTAGAAACTATAACATTAATTTTTTTTATGTCTTATCTTAAAAATAAACCCTTGGAACATACATTTCAACTGGCTTAATCACATATGAGACAAAGAAATGAGAAGTTATAACTAGGCAAGTCCTGGACTTCAACGTTGTCTTTTCCAGCTTTTCCATGACACTATTGCAATCAAATGTTATCTTTCTTTCATGCTTTGGAACATTCCTATTGCAACAATGAGGAGAAGAAGATTTGGGGAAATATAGCAGATTAAGAGCTTGAGCTGTGTGCTGCTGCCATGAGCAGCCATAAACACCTGCTCACTGATGACATCTCATAGCTAGTGTTATAATTGAAGTTGTAGTGATATCTCCAGAGAGATCATAGAGCAAAGGATAGGCCCAGCAGTAGAAAAAGACTCTGGGCCTTCGTGGTGCTCAGTAAGAGTTGATGATGAGTCACAGTAGCAGGGTCCTGGCCCAGACCTCCGATGACCACATGGACAAGGAAGTTGATGCAGGGGAAGGAGTCTGTGAGCCATTGTGGCCCAATGAGCACATCCTAACTCATTCTAATATGAAAAGATTAGGGAGATGAGGAAAAACCAGCAAAGAGACTGGAAGGGAGTTGCCAATGAGATGGAATTGGAAACTGTTAGCAGGAAAGTGTTTCTACCACAAGGGAGTAATCAACCAACTCAAATGTTACTGAGAGATAGAGTAAGATGAAGCTAGAAATCAGTCTGGGTGCAGTGGCTCATGCCTGTAATCTCACCACTTTGGGAGGCCACGGCAAGCAGATCATGAGGTCAAGAGATTGAGACCATCCTGGCCAACATGGTGAAACCCCGTCTCTACTAAAAATACAAAAACTAGCCGGGCGTGGTGGCACACACCTGTAGTCCCAGCTACTCGGGAGGCTGAGGCAGGAGAATTGTGTGAACCCGGGAGGTGGAGGTTGCGGTGAGCCGAGATTGCACCACTGCACTCCAACCTGGTGATAGAGCAAGACTCCATCTCAAAAAAAGAAAGAAGATAAAAATCCTTGGTAACTTCAACACAGCTTTACGTTGGTGAAGATTCAAGTGCTATTCGAATGAGTTCAGAGACAATAGACTAAAAGGAGTTAGAGTTGGTGCATATAGGAAACCCTCAACCAGTTTTGTTGTAAAGTGGAATAGATAAATGAGGCAGTATCTTGAGAGATAATTCAGGTTCAGGAATTTTTCTAAAGATAGGTGATATAGAGCTCCTGTTTGGATGCTCTGCAGATAATAAAAGATGAAAGATTTATACAATCTGAGGAGAAAGCAGAGTATGTGCTTCAAGTAATAACGTGTAAAGAGAACAAAATGATGGTATGGGAGGCAGAAAGAAAATAATTGATGAGAGAGGAATTTCTCAAATAGGTATAAGGGGAGGTAATCTAGTTAACCTTTAGAGGGGATGGCTTAACCACAAAGAACCCAGACAAAGAGGTAAGCAAATATATGATAACATCCTTGTAGGTATGAATATGTGGTGGTGGGTTTGAGAAAGTTTTGTTTGTTCTATTTTCTGTGAAACAGAAAGCAAGGTCATCAGCTGAGAGTGAGGATGAGATAAGAGGTACTGGAGGTTTGAGAAGAGAGAAAAAATGAATACCCAGTGGTCCAGGACAAGGTCGGCAAACTGGGCAACATACATATTTTTCCGTAGATATGTGGTCACAGATCATTTTTTAAAGTTCACTTTCAAAATCCTCTTCTTCATGATGTCATCTCTAAAACTGATCTGCCTGAGAATGGAGATGCAATATAGGCTTTTCTTTCCCACCTCTCCTTTCACTGTCTCTACTCCATACCCCACTCCTTTTCTGGGTTCTACTATGGTGCCTTGTCTCTGGTTGGTAAAATTTCTTGAATTCCAAGCAAAAAAAAAAAAGAAAAAAACAGTATCAGGAACAAATCCTTTTGAAAATCAAATGGTTTATAAATTCTTTGATTTTATCAATACTGAGGAAGGGCTTAATCAATATAACATGTGTTAGATAACTAGGTATTACATTTGATGATTTATTGTTATGTGATTTTTGGCATTCTTAGTAGTTCAACAGACTGACAGACATGCCTATAACAAGACTCCTTCCATTCTCTTCTACTTTCTTATTCTTATGTCTGTAAGATGGATAATGAGGATAGAAATGACATGAACCTATGTTAATTTTAGCAATAATTCAAATGTGAATCAGAAAAATAACTGAAAATATGTTTGTATCTTACACTGTGATATATTCCAATAAAATGATACCTTTGTACTTGATAATTACTAATCCAATCACATTTAGAATAATTACTGATCTAATCATATTTAGAATATGTTTATCTATTTTGATTAACTGTAAACTGCTAATAATTGCAATAAGTCATTATAGTAGGAAACAATACTTAAAGCTTAATGGTCACAAAAATAATTTGTGTAAGTAAAACATGTCTTCTTCTGGACAAATAACACATTTATTTATCAGAAATTAAATCATTTATAATTATTGAATTTATGGTAAAATTCATTGATTTCATATTAACAAATGTTGAAGTTATAGAATTTTTTATAATTATTTTAGAAGATTCACAAGCAAAGCCGCTTGTGGGTAACTGGTAGAGGAGTGTGGCAGAATGTGTGGACTAGGGACATGAAGTAAACTTGTAAACTTGCCCAGCAAAACATAAGACTCACTTGAGGTTAAAGGGCATGAATGTAAGGGAAGTCTACTTAGCATGGTTTTATGTTTTTCTTCCATCATGTTCAGTTGCGTAGGTACACACATGGAGTATAAATAGTACTGCATTTTAACAGGATGGTTAGGCCAAAGAAATTGAGGATGTATGAATAAAGCGGTATGGTGATGTACCATGGAATTTATGCTGTGCAAAGAGGGAAGGAAGACAGGTAATAGGTAAGAACCACTGAAACAACTGATTTCATCAATGAATTGTAGCTCTCTTCAAGGTAGAAAAATTATTGCAATCTGGAACCTCTGATAATGAGCATGTCAACACTGGAATGTCTGAAATTGCAGTATTTGCATGAGTTGCAGTTATGAAAACAAGATCCAAATTTTACTGATTTCATAGTATTTTGTCTTTTTCTCTCGATTAGAATGCAGAATATGTTAGGGCAGGTATTTTTGTCCCTCCTCCCCATCTGCTGCATTCTCAGTGCTTGATTGATTCAGAGAAGCTGCACAATGGATCTTTGCTGAAATCTTTGTTGAAAGATGAATGAAGAGTGTATGACTATGGGAAATAATGGCTGAAATTGGGTAGATGAAGAGTTCATAATTCTAGGAGACTGGGCTTAAGAACGGGGGAGGTATGAGAGAGAATTTGAATAAATCAGGAAACAAAATTTTTAAAAATTGAGAAGGTGTGAGGGACATGATGGACAACTACAAAGATGAGGAGCGGTTGGTGTGATCTGATGTTACGAGTTTCAAAGCTGTGGGTGGATTACAGAGGTAGGAGGCAGAATAATCTGAAAAATAAAGAAGCAGCCTGAAGAAAATCTATGCTGCCTACAAGTGCAAGGAGAATAGGGGGATCGGAGAGAAAACAGCTGCCATTTGAGAGAATCGTGGGAGAAGCTGTGACTTCAAGCAGGAGCCAGATTTCAGCTAGAGCTCATGGAGAAGAACATTTACAAAGGAGAAGTTGAGATATTGCAGATAACTGATCTGAAATTTCAGAGGAGAGAATGAAATGGTTTTAGAAATTCAGCAGGAAATTGGGGATTCTTAGATAATGAATTCTTTCATAACTCTTGAATTTGACGAGATTAAGCTCTGGATGAATGATTACTAAAATGACCTATATATTTTCTAATACAATTTTATAATTATTTTCAGTGATTAAAGATAAATTTTATCAGTGCATTGCCTTTGATATTTATTTTAGATGGAATTAATCATACATCATTTTCTGTGGTGTATTTCTTTAAATAATTATAGACTATAGATGTAAAATGATATAGTTCATAGGACAATTTTAATAGATTATAGCTATAGAATGCTATGAAGATACAGTTTAGAAAACATTTTAGGCCAGACACAGTGGCTCACATCTGTAAATCTCAGCACTTTGGGAGGCCAAGGTGGGTGGATCACCTGAGGTTAGGAGTTTGAGACCAGCCTGGCCAACATAGTGAAACCCCATCTCTACTAAAAATACAAAAATTAGCTGGGCATGGTGGCAGGTGCCGGTAATCTCTGCTGTTTGGGAGGCTGAGGCAGGAGAATCACTTGAACGCAGGAGGCGGAGGTTACAGTGAGCTGGGATCGTGCCACTGTACTCCAACCTGGGTGACAGAGGAGACGCCGTTGCAAAAATAAAAAAAAAGAAAATATTTTAAACCTTTATAATAATATATATGATTACATATAGGTGTATGAATATATAATTCATAGTTAATCTCTATATTACATTATTACATAGTTAATTACTTTTTTTTTTTTTGAGATGGAGTCTTGTTCCTGGAGTGCAGTGGCGTGCTCTTGGTTCACTGCAACCTCTGCCTCTCAGGTTCAAGCGATTTTCCTGCTTCAGCCTCCTGAGTAGCTGGGACTACAGGCATGTGCCATCATGCCCGGCTGATTTTTGTATTTTTTGTAGAGATGGGGTTTCACCATGTTGGTCAGGCTGGTCTCGAACTCCTGACCTTGTGATCTGCCTGCCTTGGCCTCCCAAAGTGCTGGGATTACAGGCCTGAGCCACCGCAACCGGCCACATAGTTAATTTCCATGTATACAATTAATAGTTATTTCTATATCCACACTACAAAAGAGGTAAATACAAGTATAAAATTTTAAAAATGTCTGTTCTATGCAATGACATTTAAAATTCTTGTTGATTATAGTTTTTGGTCTTAGTGCAGTCAGTTTCCACTTCATAAATACTGTCTTGCCTAGCTTGTGATGGTTCACAAGTTTTACATGCCCCACATAATGAATCATTGATATTTTCTTAGTACATTGGGCAACTTTTGAAGCTTTTGCATAACTTTTATTTTTATGTATTATCAGAAAGAGCAGGTTACTGGTTTAGTGGTGCCCTAGTGATATTGAAATTATTTTTATTTAAGCCTTTATTCTCTCCACTGGGAAATCTTCTTAAATTTAGTTTTGATTGTGTCTTCATTGTCTTCTGTATTGTTCACATGACATGATAGTAATAATGATAATACTTACATAGCACTTATTCTAGGCCTGTAAATCTAAGCACTATACAGATGTTAACTTGTTCAAGTCACATATCAAGTACATGTGATAGGTTCTATTATTATCTTCCCCCACCCTTATATAAATAGAGGAGAAAACTGAGACATAGAGTGAGTAACTTGGTTAAGGTCACAAATTGTTATATGTCAGAACTAGGATTCAAACCCTAGGGTCACACTGCAGAGACTATACCTTTAACTATACTGTCTCTATAGGGTACATAGCTGGTAAATATTTTGTAGTAAATGATGGTGAAAGAAAGGACTCTTATTGATCTTTTCTCTTAATAAATATTTAGCAGGCACCTACAGTGTCAAATGCTCTGTTTTACATTTAATAAAACAGAAATGGCTTCATGAAGCCTGGAATCAAGTGAGAGAAACAGAAATATAATTTGCACGTGCAATTGCAATATTGTAAGTACTAAGAACAAAAAGAATGAGGTATTATAACACGCCCTTCTTTGGACTGTGTGGGTAGGCCCTTTTTGAGGAATTGGTATTTAAGACTTGAACAATGATGAGAAGGAGGCAGCCAGGTCATGAATAAGAGAAGAGTTCCTAGCAGAAGAAATAGTATTTAAGAAGAACAGGATTTCTGGAGCTTATAGAAAGGGTGCCCTTATTTTGTCTTTCACTTGAATCCAAACAGGAAACAGATGACATACCAAAAAGTAAAATATTTTATGGGGATTCATTTATAAAGAAAGCTGGATACAGGCATTATTTAAGGGATGGTGTAGAAACTTGGGGTGAGCGTTAGAAGAGCTAGTATGTACTACCCCAGGGCCTGAAGGAGAAGCAAGTTGTTGGAGCTGAGAAGGAGAGGGTTATAGAGGGCAGACTTCCTTATGAGAGCCTTATGAATCTCTTCAGTTGAGGGTCACACTCAGCTAGAGCAAATCCAAATAAAGGGAAACAGGAAAATAGATTCCTGACCCTGCTTTACCTTCTGCCCTTTCATCTCCTAATGAGGCTGATCATCTATTGCCTAAACACAAAGGGAAAGGGTATGAGAGCCCACTGATTAACCCATTCAGTTCAGTCTCCCGGGACGGAGTGTAGAGCGCAAGGTCAAAGAGGTTTTGGATATCCATTAGAATTTTTGGCCGCTGAACGATCATGCTATGCCTTTAGTTCATGTTATAGAATCTTTTATTTTAGGCAAAATGGGGAATCTTTGAAGTGGTGTGCTTTTGGAACAGGGAGATTATAATACTTTTATGAGGTGGATTTTGCTTTGAAAATGGCACACATTGTAGAGGCAATTGCACAAATGGAGTGGGGAGATACAAAGTTATTTGGTAGTTTATATGGTGGCTTTGATTACAGATGCTTCTCAACTTACGATGGGGTTACATCCCATAAAGCCACCATAAATTGAAAGTATCCTAATTCGAAAATACATTTAATCCACCTAACCTGCCAAACATCATAGCTTAGCCTAGCCTACCTTAAATGTGCTCAGACACTTATATTAGTTTACAGTTAGCAAAATCATCTAACACGAAGCCTATTTTATAATAAAGTTTGAGTATCTCATGTAATTTATTGAATACTGAACTGAAATTGAAAAACAGAATGTTGTATAGGTACTTGAAGTACGACTTCTACTGAGTGTGTATTGTTTTTGCTTTATATTATATAGAAAAATCTTAAGTCAAACCATCGTAAGTCGGGGACCATCTGTAGTGTGGTTGCAAATCTGTTTAAAAGGTATAAATAACAGGACTTGATTATAGATTTTATGAATAGCTTGGATTGAAAGGTCACAGTGACTCTCGTGTATCTGACTCACATAAGTAGATAGGTGTTGGTGCCACAAACTGCCACAGAAAAAAAATTCTATGAACAGAATGAGTTAAGGATGTTGACCAATAATTTAGTTTTACACATGAAATATTCAAGTGGAAGTGTCAGCAGGTTGAATATACAGATTTAAACTGGTGTGATCCAGAGGCATACATTTGGGAGCCCTCTGCAACTAGATTTAAAGTTATGTAATCATGATATCATTTAAGCTAAGAGTGCATTGAGGGACTAGAAAGAAGAAACGACTAAACCTTGTAAAACTTACACATTCAGAGAAGGCTAGTTAGAGAAGAAGTCAGCAAAGGAATCCAATGTTAGGACTAAGCTCGCACTTGTGTTATCCCACTTAGATTATAATAATTCTGTGAGGTGGGTATTATAATATTTTGAATCAGGATCTGAGAATCAGATTAATCATCCTGGCTTTGATTTTTGCCTCACTCCAAAACCATGCATTTTTCATGACACCAGGTTGTCTGTTACAAATTATAAATACTTGTGGAAGTCAACATCTTCCTAGAATAGTGATAGAAAGCAAGCATTAAAAAAAACATAATATGAATAAGGGAAGTAGTTTTAAACACTGCTTAATTTGTAAATTACTTCTGTGATGTATAAATTAAATTATAATTGACTATCCTTGTTTTCCAGAGTTAGTTGGAATGATATGGTTTTAAATCTTTTAAATAGGCTAACTCATGTAACTAAAACAAATTTTAAAATAAATTTTTCCACAGAGGTGCCACCAATTTGGTTTTACCTCCTAATGGATAAAAGCTTAATTTCAGCCCTGATCTGGATCTATGAAGAGCTTTGGTACTTACTTCCAACAGCTTGTTCCTAAGAACTGAGTGTGTAATTTATTAATAGAGACTAGAGAGTAGGTGTTTGAAATGTACAGTTGAAAACAAGTCTTGACATTTAAACTTCATCACATAAAAATATGAAATCCATTATTTTCTACTAGGATATTAACAATAGAGTTTTAAACATCTTTTGTAATAGCACAGTTTCATAACTAGTCCATTAACTACATGATAACTGTCATGAACTCAAATAAGTGTCCATAATGATCAGTGAGTGCTTCCACTTAAGTGTCCATATACTTAGGAGGGTGAAGCACCTTTCAGTTGGTAATAATACAGTGACTATAATAAGTTCTGAGCAGAAAATATTAATGAATCTGTGGCTTTGTCTTGATTTGAGGTATTAGGATAGAAAATATCATCTCAAACTTTTCAAAGTTGGTTACATTTCTAGACATTATAATTTGCCATGTGAAAATCATCTATGCATTATTAATATCTTACTTATATTTTAATCTTATAAAGGCTAAATATATATCTTTATATAAGGATATATAGATAGGATAGTTATCCTATAGATATCCATATAAAGATACATAGATAGGACTGTTTCTATTTACACATTTCATGATATTAGACTTCCAGCATGTTTGTGTAGCAGACAGTATTTGGGCTGAAAAGAGCAAATTTGTTTCCAATAAATACTATATCTTTCTACTTAACATAGGATGATAAGTAGAATTATTACATGAAATATTTGCTTGGAGTATGGACAGAATTTGTACTTTAAATTTGCATTGAAAGATTTTTATATATTCATTTGTAAATTTAGCATTAATTTTTTTTGGATTGTAGTTTAACTTTCGCCATAACTTCTAAAATCTCCATTCATTCATTCATTTATTCATTCATTCATTCATTCTGCCTTCTATGTGCCAGATATTCTTCTACCTCTGAATAATATAGTTTTTTATTAAAAAACAGCTAAAGCCTCCTCTCTCATGAAGCTTACAGTAATGAAGAATGAGAAATAATATAAGTAAATAAATTTTAATGTTGCTATTATAAATGTTTTCCCAGAAAAAATGAAATGATACAGTTGAGTGACAATTTATATTATTCTAATAATTTAAGCTTCTTAAAATTTGATCTAGCTGATACAGTTGAAACTCGGCATTTGTTATGTATATAAGCTGCATCCCAAAAACAAGTGTTACATAGGGAAGAATAAAAACAATGAGATGTTTCCAAAGTATTGTCAGTTTATTAATTAAATATTTTTGAATTGGTATTAATACATTATAGTATGAACTGCTTATTACAATTTTTTTATTTCTAAAACAGAGGCTGATTTTATTAAATAACATTGAGAAAAATAATGTAACTCCACTAATAGTAATTATGATGCTTAATACTTACTTTTGGTTTTGCCAGAATAGATTTAAAATATTGATTGATGGCACTTTTATTAAATTCTACCAGATACTGAGGAGTTGTAACTCTTGGACTAATACTTTGGAAGCAAAAGATCATTTACATTTCATTAACATTTAATTATCTCAGAACATCTCTGTTCTACCAATGACTAACAGATTCAGAAAAAAACTTAAATAATCTTAACTCTTACACTATTCAAAAACACGGTTTTCTTTGAAGTGAAAACTACATTGATTGGTTTAAAAATGTGTAGTACAGTGGTTACAACATGAACTTTGAAATTATACTCTCTTGGATATAAATTTGTGTGCCACCACATATTAACAATTTAAGCCTCCCAAAGCTCCATTTACCTAATATGTAAGATGAATATATTTAATAGTACTTATAGATTAAAGTGATATCATATGAGGTAACCTATGATAACAGTGCTGGACAAAAAATAAGCTTTTAATAAATGGCAGCTTTTATTTCTGTAGTTGTTTTTAGTGTTTGTATCATAATTATTATTCTAATATAATTATATATGATATGAAATTTATAATTGTATATAACCTGTGTATATATAGCAATTATAATCATTTTATAATTTTAATTATTATTTGAAAAATACTAAGAAAATAGATATTCTTTTTCATAATGGAATTTGTATCCATAAATTAGTTTTAAATTATATAGGGAGCATGGAATCTGCTGTCACCTGAAAATGGTTTGTGGATGTTAATGTCATCAGAACCTCAGTTGACTGATTCTTTGTTGCTTTTACTAACATTGTGTTTAAGCATGTAGTTTCAGTTTCTTGTTGGCTTTCTTCACTAAATTCCAAGTTCCTTCAGGACTATGTCTTGCTTATGGTGGAATTCACAATGTTTAGTAGACTTTTTTCTTACATATGAATGAATTAATCAGATATTCATCAGCATTATTTTAACATTAAAAGAAAACCTTACTACTTAATGGTGGATCAAATGTGCAAAGTTCTTTTATGAAAGGTACTTGTATACTATGTCTTAAAAAAACAATTGTGCGCAAAGGAAGGAAGAAACATGTGATGCAAATTTAGGCAATGTTTGTTAAAATAGATATGTGAAACCTGGAGCAGTGGCATGTCCCAGGGACTCAGGAGGCTGGGGCAGGATGGCAGGAGGATGGCTTGAGCACAGGAATTTGAGGTCAGCCTGGACAACGGAGTGAGACCCCATCTTGTAGTAAATAAATAATAGATAAGTGAGTAAAATGTGTGTTTAAATTTTTATAATACCTTGCAGTGGGAAGAGGAATATGAAACATCCAAGCTAGATGTAGCATAATTACTTGTAATCCTTGACACTTTCATTTTAAAAAATCTAATACGCATTCTAGGAGTTGATTCTTTTTTTATTAAATTGAGGTTGAAAAATAAACACTCAATTTGCTTTCTGATTCTCTTTGCTTTAAGCAGAATATAATTCTTGTGCTTCTCTTAAGTTCCCAATCTATACTATCAATGCCTAACATATATCAAATGTATGCATATGCCAATAACAGACTTAAAAATATCCTTTAGTGAAAAAACCCTTAACCTAACCAATTAGTAAGGAAAAAGTAAAGAAGGACAAAAGGACCAATTGTGATGAATGTGGTTATGACAGTGCATTTGTTTGTCGGAAAGGGTAGGTAGAGTAAGCATTGAGATTTAAGAATTTACAGAACAAATATAATACAAAAGGGAATTTGGCACAATTCATGTGATGAAAGAATACACATTTACCTGCATTTTCACCCTTGTCATTGACCACCCACAAGCTTTTTACCCTCAAGAAGAGAATAAGTCCTCTGAAATATAACTGTCCACTGGAGAGCGCAATGTATGAATGGCTCATAGCAAGAAAAAGAAAATGGTAACTATAAAATTAAATTGTAGTCATGAAAAGCAAATAGATGGAAACTGATTCCTCTCTTCAGGTTAGAGATAGAAACACTGCAGGATTTTTTTTTTTAGACTGAGCATTCTTTTCTTTCTTTCTTTTTGCCCCAGAATATCATAAATAAAACTACTGACTTATTTTCTTTATGTTTTCTCCTGCAAGTAGGATTTTTCTTTTCACATATGAGTTCCAGGCCTTTCTGAAACAGGGGACATTAATATAAGCCTAAGAGAATACTGGTCAAGATAGCCATTTGAAATAGAAACCACTCCCTGTTTCTTGAAATTTTCTCCTGTTCAGAATGCCAGGCCAAACTGGTCACTCCTGTTCAGTTTTCTTCATTGATCTGTTTTCTCATTTCACTCTGTAAATGTTTGTTGTTTGTAACAGACGTCACATTTGTCTACTCTCTAACCACTCTGCCTGGATTACCTGGTTATTTTAATTTAAATGCTCTCTAGTGAAAACTCCAAAATCTGGTCTGATTTCTGTCATTGAGTTTCAGAACTTTATATCTGATGTCCTGCATGGACAAATCTAAACTGATTTTAGACTCAATTCCATAAATTTCTGCTTCCTCCTGTATTCTCATTTGTGGTTAATAATATCATCATCTAATGAATCTCTGAAGCTAAAAATTTCAATGTAATATAGGACTCTTATTCCCACACCTCAGTCTGTAAGTCACTACATTTTGTAGGTTCTGTTATAGAATATTTCTCTTCTAATCAGAGCTGTTATGTGTCACAGCTTTAGGTCACATATTTATCATTTTCCTCCCACATTGTTGAACAATCTTCTAACTGAGCTGTCTGGCACTTCTCTTAACCTTTAGGAGTCCATGATCTATACTGGTATCAGTTATCTACTGAAATCTGGTTTGGCTCTGTTATTCTTCTGCTAAGATATCTCCACATGGCTCCACTGACCATCGCCTCAACTTCAAGCCCAAGTTTTTCCCTCTTTAGGAAATGGGTTCTATTCTACATGGCCAGTAAACTCTAAGACCCAGCATAAAATCATCACTTCTGTTAAGAATTCTTCTGTGAAGACTTTCTGTGACTTCATGGTCTCAGAAGACTGTGACTTCCATGAAGACTTTCCTTACACTCCTTTCTTTTATGCTCCATTACAGAACTTAACAGGCATATTATAATTTCTGTTTATAAATATTCCTTAATAAGAAAATATTTTTTGTTGAAATTATGACTTAAATTCTCTATGCATAACATAGTACCTGTTTCATAGTTGGCATTGATTAAATATGAATTGAATGATTTTCTTCTATTGACTTAAATTAAGTCTCTTAGAGTGGTTTTTCTACAACCTCTATGATACTATTGGCTGCTCATTTTAATGTACTCTGATTTTAAATCCCATAATCATTTACCCCCCTCTTTACCCCTGCTCCTACCTCTATGGTCATCCTGTCATTAGATTAGGGACATTAAAAGAATCTTCAGGTAGGAATATATTGGTTTGAGGTTAAGAATGGCAGAATCAAATGATTATTGACTGTTATTTTAAGCCAGGTTCAGTATTAAATGCATTAAGAATTTACTCAATAATTCTTAGAACAGAAATAATGAATATATTTGTTTTACTAATTAAGAAAAGGAGAAATTGAGTAAATGGTTCAAGTTTATATGGTGATGATGGACATAGCTGGAAACCAGACACATATCAGTCCAGTGCCCAAAATGTCAGTATAATAGACAACTCATCACCAATTTAAATTTGTTTCTATTTGTATTGTGACTTCACACATAATTGAATTAACTGGGCTCTTGCTTTCCTCTCTGGTACCAGCCTTTATTCCATTTCAAGGTCATCCTCATATAATTAGAACTGATTACTTGGCAAATAAAGGATAATATTTTCACAGCTTCTTTTACCTGTACTACATAAGCACAAATGTACAGTGTTTATATGATATTAATATAATCACAAATAGCATGGGATTTGAGAATACAGTTTTGTTATCATTTTTAGTAGTATTTAGAAGTAAAATAGAATATCAAAGTTCTGTGATTTAAGAACTTGAAGTTCCACAGTTGGTTCTACTCATATTAGCCATTTAACCTTGAGCAGGTCAGTTTCATCATCTGGAAAGATGATTTTCATGATACTCCAAACTATAAATGATAGTAGACCTGAAAAGTACGAAGATTTCCTAAAAGTTTGTGGAAGAATTGAGAAGAAAGGCATATCTGAAAAAAATCACTATAAAATGCCAGTAATAATAATTATAGGCATATAACCATGAAATTAATTCTGTATATAGTATTAAGCTAAAGATGTCACTATTTGAATAGCATATCCTGTGTACATGAAGTTGAAAACCTAGGTGAAGAGATGGAACATATTTCCATCTCTTTCCATATATGACTAACAATTCTAAATATCATTTGTAGTGTTCAAAGTCATAAGAGCTCAACATAACCAAGTGAAAAAAAACATATATTTATGAGACTAGGGGAAGAACATTCCAGGCTGGGACAAAATTGGGGAGAAATTCTGAGAATGAGTTAGAACTGTTTTAATCTTTTTGTCTGAATTCCTTAAAGATGGGACTGTTTTCTTACTTTATAAAGATACCTTAGGAGCTTATTAAAATTAGGCTTAGTTGTCGGGAACAACATATTCTTACACTGATAAGGAAAACTTCAGGCCTTTTTTGCAGGGAGATAAGACTTAAATATCACCACAGCAAGCTGCCATTTTAGCATTCAGTGGTTAAGCCAAGGGGCAAACAGCTGGAGCAGAGCTAGCAGAAAAACAGTGGGATGTAGTTTCCAAACCACAAGTACCTTGTGTCTAATTCTTGCATTCTTCAGCATGAAGATTGTTTTTTTTGTTGTTGTTGTTTGTTTGTTTTTGAGATGGAGTCTGACTCTGTTGCCAGGCTGGAGTGCAGTGGTGTGATCTTGGCTCACTGCAACCTCAGCCTCCCAGGTACAAGCGATTCTCCTGCCTCAACCTCCCGAGTAGCTGGGACTACGGGCGCGTGCCACTACACCCAGCTAATTTTTGTATTTTTAGTAGAGACAGGGTTTCACCATGTTGGCCAGGATGGTCTCTATCTGTTGACCTCATGATCCGTCTGCCTCGGCCTCCCAAAGTGCTGGGATTACAGACATGAGCCACCTTGCCTGGCCAAATGTTTTTAATATTACAAAAATCAGACAAATGAAATTCCTCATTTGTCCTCGCATGCTCTTGTTGTTCCTAAATTCCTTCAGTTGTCTAATTATGTCACCTTTTTTTCAATCAATCAAATTATAATTGCCAGTATTAAGTATCTAGTTGTAGTGACAGAAAGGAGTGAAAGCAGTAAAAGATATATGAAACTTAATCTCCTCATTTAAAATCATGCAAATGACTGAACAATCTTACAATAAGACCATTTCTATCAGAAAAGCTAGGAAGTTTATATTAAAATACTGTTTTTAAGATTTAGATTCATTCTTTTATATGAAGCTAATACAAGATAGAATAAATCATTTTTTTTAAAAAAAAAGCAAATCTCATCAGAGGCAAAAATCAATAGTTTCATATTCAAATAAAAACAGTGCTTAAAATCAGTCCATTGTAAGTTGTTTGCTGTTTTCTAATTGTTTAGAACAACTTCCTTTTATCTTTCCCAGGTGTTTTAATGAAATAGTGACCAATTTCTGAAAATGTTTTTCTGTAATATAAACGATAGCCAAATGCCTTGGAGAATATTTTCTTTTATAATTTCTGTCTTTATAAAAAGTTAGTCTTTGTAAATTTAGATTGCTTAAAGTCTCCAAAGTTCTTAGATGAGAAGAATTGATTTTAACAATTCTGTATACTATTAATAGTAATGCTTCAGGCTCATTATAAAAACTCAAAAGGAAAATAGTTAACAAATTGTAAGTTGAAGTATTATTACCTAATAATATTATTATTGCTCAAATAATAATTTGATTATTATTGTACTTTCTTCTCTCAATTACCCTTATTTTGAATCTTCATTTCTAAATTTGCCTTCCTACTATTATTTTCAGACTTTTTTTGTTCCCTCTGTCTTTTAATGATTAAATCATCATCAAAGGCTGGAGTGCAGTGGCAGCATCACTGCTCACAGCAGTCCGTAACTGGGCTGAAGCAATCCTTCTACCTCAGCCTCCCCAGTAGTTGGGATCACAGGCACACTCCACTGTTCCCAGATAATATATTTTATTTTTTGTAGAGATGGGGTCTCACTATGTTGCCCTGGCTGGTCTCGAACTACAAGGCACAAGTGATCCTCCCGCCTCAGCCTTCATAACTTCTGGATTACAGACATGAGCCACTGCACCTAGCCAATATTTAGTTTTCTTGTTTGTAGCATCTATATTATTACATAGCAATGTGTTTTAGTTAAAATATCAACTTAGTTAAAAAAATATTTTGTTAGTTTTTCTCAAAATAGCTATAGTTTCCTAATTCTTTAAAATTATTTAATATATGCCTTTGATATAAATATACTTCCCTTAAAAATTGAGAAGGTATATGTAATATAATTTCCATTAACCCAAAGAGGCTAAAATGCTGCTTTGAACCTTCTCAGATTCTCTCTACTTGTAACTTACACTCTGTTCTTACTGTCCTGTATGTGGTTTGCCAAAAATATTGACCACCTAAACCAATTTCGCTGTATTTCAATAAAACAAAACCAAGTTTTCGAATCATAACTCCAAAGTTTGAATCATAGCTCTCTCACTTAACAGCTCATGATTTAACTGCCATGAGCCTCAGTTTTCTCAATTGTAGCTAACATCAGAAGGCTTTTTTTTTTCTTATACTTTAATTTCTGGGATACATGTGCAGAACATGCAGGTTTGTTACATAGGTATACACGTGCCATGGTGGTTTGCTGAACCCATCAACCCGTCATCTACATTAGATATTTCTTCTATTGTTAACCTACCCCTAGCCCACCATCCCCCACCTGTGTCTATGTGTTCTCATTGTTCAATTCCCACTTATGAGTGAGAACATGCAGTGTTTGGTTTTCGGTTCCTGTGTTAGTTCGCTGAGAATGATGGTTTCCAATTTCATCTGTGTCCCTTCAAAAGACATGAACTCATCATTTTTTATGGCTGCATAGTGTTCCATGGTGTATATGTGCCACATTTTCTTTATCCAGTCTATCACTGATGGGCATTTGGGTTGGTTCCAAGTCTTCACTATTGTGAATAGGGCTTCAATAAACATACGTGTGCATGTGTCTTTATAGGAGAATGATTTATAGTCCTTTGGGTATATACCCAGTAATGGGATTGCTGGGTCAAATGGTATTTCTGGTTCTAGATCCTTGAGGAATCTCCACACTGTCTTCCACAATGGTTGAACTAATTTACACTCCCACCAACAGTGTAAAAGCATTCCTATTTCTCCACATCTTGTCCAGCATCTATTGTTTCCTGACTTTTTAATGATCACACCAAAAGCAATGGCAACAAAAGCCAAAACTGACAAATGGGATCTAATTAAACTAAAAAGCTTCTGCACAGCAAAAGAAACTATCATCAGAGTGAGCAGGCAACCTACAGAATGGGAGAAAATTTTTGCAATCTATCCATCTGACAAAGGGCTAATATCCAGAATCTACAAGGAACTTAAACAAATTAATGAGAAAAAAACAACCCCATCAAAAAATGGGCAAAGGATATGAACAGACGCTTCTCAAAAGAAGATATTTATGTGGCCAACAAACATGTGAGAAAAAGCTCATGATCACTGGTCATTAAGGAAATGCAAATTAAAACCACAATGAGATATCATCTCATGCCAGTTAGAATAGCGATCAAAAGGCTTTTTTATGAGAGATAAGTGGGAGAAATAACACAAAAATATCATCCCAGTGCACCTCTGATATAATAATTCTTATTACATGTTAGATGATGTTATTAATTACAATATTTGCCAATTTTAACATAAGTTGGGACAATGTTTTACCAGCACAGTTTTTTCCCCTGAAGAAATCAAGGCTCATTAGACTTTTGCTATAATGGAATTTATATTAGCTAAAATAAAATTACAATTAGACTGGTGAATATAGTTTCCAGAAAGTATATAATTTAAATTGCTAACATAAAAGACTGATTTTTCTTAAAGTCAGATCTTATTTATATATTTGTTACATCTTATATATCCTGCCTTTTATGAATTTTAAATTTTGTAGCTATTATATTTTAGTAAATTGATGGTATTGTTTAAGTAGAAATGAAGAAAATATATAATAGTTTTTAAAGCTTTACCTAAAATATACAAGTCTTGGCAGGAATACATACTATTCCCCATTTATTTATTTATCATTGTATTAAATCTTTTTGCTGACAGCATAGGGGAAATTATGATGATTTAAAGAGTGAGTATCAGTATTTGACAGAGAAGGAAAATGATGATAACATACAAGCAGTTATTTATAACAAAATTTAACTTTAAAGTGGCAATTGCTTCATATTTGATTTATGCATTTATCCTAGGTGGTAGAACAGACTTCCCCTGTCCAAGGAGTGACCTTTAAAGGTGGCTATTGCAATATGAAAATATACATTTTGAGAGTACAGTGATTATGGAAATGCAGAAGAAAAAATAGTTGTGTGGCATGTTTTGCAGATTTTTTTTCTTTTTGCCTCACTAACTTAAATGGTGGTTTGTGATTTTCGGTATTGACTTTTTGAATTATCATTTAACCTTTTCATATTCAGTAATTGGCACCAACCAGTTTTTCTTTGCTGCCCCATCTTCTACCAGAAACAGCCACACTACCTAAAGTCTAAATAAAACACAAATAAATATGATCCAGAAACACAGCTAATAGAGAATTCTGGACTTTGTGTTCCAATGCTTTGGTGGACTCAGTTTGATTTAGAACTTTGTCTTTAGCAATGCAGTTTTAGAAATTTGATTTTATTCAGTTACTCATGGATACTCTGGGTTATAATTCATTTACTCCAACCAAACTTTAAAGACTTCATAATATTACTTCATTTGTGAACCATAAGTTTACCTAAAGAAATGCTGTTTAGTTCTTTGTCTATAAAACACACGTTCCATTAACCAGTGACATTTTTTTCTAGTCACTGGAGAAAGTAAATTTGATTAAAATTTTATCTGTGCATCTAAATGTTGTTAAATGCAACTTACTCATTCCCAATGGGTTGTAGAGAAGTTTTAAAGGTAATATTAGGTCACCTTGTCTGTTTTTAAATTTTATTATATGTTATCATCATTTTCAACCAGTTTCCATTGTTGATTGAATCATGCCTTATCTCACTGGTTAATGGTTGAGCAAGGATTTTTAGAGTCTTTTTGTGTTGGAATTTTGTTGTCCATATAATGATTTGTATACTGGACAGCTAAACATCATAGACAGATGTCTGCTTTTTTTTTTCTAAAACTTATGATAAACTATTCTTGCTGACTAAATTTATATTTGGTAAGTATTTTGTATAAGTCACTCTCAGGCTTGATGAGAAAACAGAAATAATACCTATAATCCTCTTTCTTCCAGATTTTATGTTGTAGTACATGTATATACACGTTGTGTTTCTAGGGCAATTTGACTTTGTAATCACTATTTTTTATTTATTTTATTTTTTATTTTTTTGCGAGTGAGTCTCACTCTGTCACTGGGGCTGGAGTGCAGTGGGGAGATTTTGGCTCACTGCAAACTCCGACTCTCAGGATCAAGTAATTCTCATTCCACAACCTCTCATGCCTCAGCCTCTTGAGTAGCTGCGACTACAGACGCATTTCACTATGCCTGGCTAATTTTTGTATGTTTAATGGAGATGAAGTTTCACCATGTTGGCTAAGCTGGTCTTGAACTCCTGGCCTCAAGTGATCTGCCTGCCTTGGCCTCCCAAAGTACTGGGATTACAGGCGTGAGCCACCATGCCTGGCTTATAATCACTATCTTTTAATGACCTACTACTGATATTTCCTAAAAACAACTAATGGTCCCCTGTTTTATCTCTAATAATTTAATCACTTAAGAATGGTATACAGAAACTAGTTGTTTTTAGAGATGAGTATGAATATGCTGCTTTTTTTGGCCATTAGCTGTTTATCAACATTTAACGAAATGTGGATGTTCAATTTCTTAAAATAATAACATAAATTTTCATTACTTTTCAGCTCCTCTATTAAGAGTTCTGCTCTGATGCTAGGCAAAATATTACAAACTACTACATGAGGGCCCACCTTTCTTTTAGGGAACGTTGCTCTATTAAGTAAAGGGAAATGGTGTTATCCCTCAAATCACTTAGGAGTATACAACCTCATAGATCCTTTAGCAGCATATTAAATAGAATATATATATATATATTTTTTTTTTCTCTAATGGTAGAGAATATCTGATCTGTTCTTATGAACATTTCCCTGCTCTTTAATATGCATGGGGATATATTCTATGCATTAGGATTAAAAGCACAAATGAACTACATTGTGTAAGTAAACTTCAGAAAAACAAATAGACATTCATTGAACACCTACTAGGTGACAGACAACTGGACAAGAAACTGGAGATGCCAAGATGAATAGGGGTATGGTCCCTTAAAGTATGAAGCTGAAGGTACAGTGGAGAAATATAGAACACAATTTAATCAAGTCAGTAATCATAGTTTTTTCTGTTATTCTACTTAAAAGATTAACACTCTTATAGTTTTCATAGATTATTGGTGTCAATGAAACTGATATTGGTGGGCAAGGGGAGGCCAGTGGGACCTCTACCCCAGCTGGTGAACAGGCTCTTGACACAGTCACAAGAAGGAATTCAAGGACAAGTCAGAAAATAGTAAAAGTACAGAGATTGTTGCAAGGGAAAAAGTACACACTCAAGAAAAGGGAGTGTGGGCGTACTCAAGAGAGAGAGTCACGTGCAAGGGACTTTGGGGCTGCTATCTTTATGGGTTTCTTTAGCCAAGGGATGGAATATTCATGGAGATTCCTAGAAAAAGCTGGTGATTTCTCAGAACTGTGGTGCCACCCATTTTTACATCAAATATGAGTGCTCCTGGAACTGTCATGGCGCTTGTAGGTATGTTATTGACTATGTTAATGAGCATATAGGAAGATCCTAGGTGAAACCCAGGACAGATACAGTGCTATGTTGAGTCCACCAGATCTTAGCCAGCTTGGTCCATGCCCTGGTTTTCAGGGTCTTATCTGCTCCTGGCTTCTGCAGCTATTTCGGCAGTTTCCTTTTGCTAGTCACATGAAACTGCTGCCTGGAATTTTCTATTCTCTTGCAACCACCTTGTGCTACTCCTGCCTCAAAACTGTCCCCATAAACTTGCTCCTTATCAGAAGAAAAATTAAAATACTGTCAGAAGCAAATATTTTACTTAAATCAGTAAAATGATTGTCCTTAAAAACAGATTTGTTGAGTTCACCTTAATTAGTAATTGGCTGACAATGAGTACGAATTTAGTTCATGTTTGTTTATAAGCCATGTAACATCTGTGAATTAGTTTTATATGAATTGCAATCTTTTCAGAAAAGAAATAATGTAGGCTTTTTCTGGTTTGGCCTTTTGTTTTTTTTTTAACCCCCCAAGGAGCCACAGTAGAAAATGAAAAACATAGATCTGTAAAGGAAATGGCATTTTCTAAATACTCTTTTCTCCCTGTATAAACACATTGATTGTTAGTTTTTAAATTGCTTTGACTTATAAAGACCTTAAAAATCTCAAAAATGAGTATTTACTTCCCTGGAGATTTCTTCATTGAGTTTAATAAAATCCTTAGTGAGATTCATACACTGCAGGTTTCTTTTTTTTTTTTTTTTTAACTTTTCTGCTTTTGAAATTACAAGCTGTTACTCACCAGGTGTATTTTTATTAGTTTGTGTGATTCTGAGCCTGAATATTTATTTTACAAGTCCATTTAGCAAACTATGAAGCTTTTTAAATCTGTAAGAAGAGGGGCAATACTTTCATTGCAACTTTGAATGTCAAATGTTTAAAGGGTAATTACATGCTTGAATCATATTCGGAGTCAGGATAGTCAGGACACACTTGCTGATTTGGAACTGAGAATTAGTTACTTCAAAATAGAGAGTTATTTTTTACCCAAATGTATAATATTGTTAAATAGCATCACTGAAAATTCTGTGAAAAACTGGTCTGACATACATACACGCATGCATACATACACATATTTTGCCAGTTGAGCCTTTTCACAAGACTCAGCTACCTAGTTTTCTTATTAAATTTTGCTCAAATGGCACCAAATAAGAAATGTCAGCATGACTTGTATAACAACATACTTTCAACAGTTTGTATCAAATGATTTGCATTACACTAGAGTCTTGGTTAGATTGGAAAGGTGTTTACAATAGGTAACATAAAGCTAAATTCTTAGAATTTGATTTTAAGAGTATATATATATATAATGAGAATAAAGAAAATATGTTTGTAAGATTTGTCTTAGCAAATTTTATAATTAATAGTAAGTAATAGTGCAGCAAGAGAAAGCTATATAGTATCTTTATAAATCAAAAGTATGATTATTTATCTTATATGACCACATAGCCTACTCCAGCTATTGCCCCATCTCTTTGAAATACTCTAAAGCTAAACTCCTTGAGAGAGTGCACACTTTCCATTTTCTCACACCATTTGCTTCCCAGGCAAGTGATTTCCGTATCTCTAAATTCAGCAGGCACATTTTAGTCTGCCTTTTACATGGACCTAGCAAAACTGGAAACACTCACATTTGCCATCTTAAACACTTCTTTTTCTTTGGCTTCTGTGATTCCATATTTTCCTCTCTCTTCTGCTTGTTCCGATGATTTTTCTCAATCTGCTTTTATACCCACTTTCTACCCATCTAGCCTTGTCTGCCCAGAGTTTAAAAGTTGGAGCTTTTTACGGTGGTGTTCTAAGTCTGAGAAGGCAAACCTTTTGGTAAAGGGACAAATAGTAATTATCTCAGGCTTTGCATAACATATGGTGCCTGGTGCACGTTTGCTGTTGTAGCATGAAAGGAGCCGTATACAATAGGTAAATAAATAGCTGAGGTTTCTAGATATGTTATTCTGCTTCTCAGTTTCTTTATATCAAAATAATTTTGTATGGACTTCTACCAAAATTCTTTTCTATTTCTTACATTTAAAGGAAATTAGTTTTACATTTCCCTAGGATATTTTTGTAGCTTTATATCTCTAGACCGTCCCACTATGTACAAATAGATCGACTTGTACTTTGAGTAGCTTCCTCCTCTACTTCTCCCAAGTATCTATCTTGGCTTTTTTGTATTCTGTTCTTACTGTTTCTGTTCAGGTCACTTTAGATTGTACTCCCTCCCAGGAGTTACTTTCTAGTGTGGGACTTTGGCTAAAAAGAGAGCTAGGTTTTTTAGTTTTGAGATTTTACAGGGTTGAGGGTCTCCTATTTTCTGACTTTACTATGGTCCCTTTGCATTTACCCACAAATTTGAATATGCAAAATTTCTGTGGGTTTTTTTTTTTTTTTTTTTTTTTTTGAGACGGAGTCTCCCTCTGTCGCCCAGACTGGAGTGCAGCAGCGCGATCTCGGCTCACTGCAAGCTCCGCCTCCCGGGTTCACGCCATTCTCCTGCCTCACCCTCCCTAGTAGCTGGGACTACAGGCGCCTGCCACCACGCCTGGCAACTTTTTTTTTTGTATTTTTAGTAGAGACGGGGTTTCACCGTGTTAGCCAGGATGGTCTCCATCTCCTGACCTAGTAACCCGCCCGCCTTGGCCTCCCAAAGTGCTGGGATTACAGGCGTGAGCCACTGCTCCTGGCCTCTCTCTGTTTTATCTGCTATTCTCAGATTGTCTCACTGTGCTTCCCATAATTCTCTGATCAGATGGACTCTAAGGGCCATCAGAAGCCTGAATGCCTTCTGCTCTCTTTGCATAATTGCAGATACCTTCCAGATTTTGTAGCTATCAGTGATTTTTATTCACTCACTGGTTTTTTAGAGCTCATAACGATTTGGAGTTTATAACTGATACTTGTAGAAGCCTAGAGATCTTTTGGTTTGGCTATCCTGTTTTTAGAGGAATATTTGGGAAGACTCAAAACTATTCCATTTCTGCATTTTCCAATAATCCTGTCATAGACGTTACCTAGTATATTTATTTTTTAAGGTGGAGAATGTAAATGCCCTAGTATTCTATATCATTGTATTTTTATTTATTTATTTAGCCATTCATTCACTGATTGATTCTTTTATTCATTCAAAAATGACATTCATTTATTGAGTATCTATTACATTACAGGTACTTGACAAAATGTGATTCAGAAACAGAATGTTCCAGATATCATGTCAGGTGCTTTAACAAAGAATATCCCATTTACCCTTCAGAATAATACAGTTTCCTGAAAGTAATTATGTTGCCAAAGTTTACAGACAGCTTCAGTACCAGGTCTTCGAGTTGATTGTACAATTGAATGAAATATGTTGCTTAAGCAGTTGTTTGATGTTTACAATTGGTCACTAGGCTAGGCACTTGGAACAGAAATATGTGCCAGCTCTTTTTGTTTGTTTGTTTTTGAGACACAGTCTCGCTCTGTTGCCCAGGCTGGAGAGCAGTGGCTCAATCTCGGCTCACTGCAAGCTCTGCCTCCAGGGTTCACGCCATTCTCCTGCCTCAGCCTCCCGAGTAGCTGGGACTACAGGCGCCCGCCACCACGCCTGGCTAATTTTGTGTATTTTTAGTAGAGACGGGGTTTCACCATGTTAGCCAGTATGGTCTTGATCTTCTGACCTCGTGATCCGCCCGCCTCGGCCTCCCGAAGTGCTGGGATTACAGGCGTGAGCCACCGAGCCCAGGCTGTGCCAGCCTTTTGTGTGTGTGTGTGTGTGTGTGTGTGTGTGTGTGTGTGTGTGTGTGTGATGTTTACCTATTCTCTATATTAAAAACTTTACTATGGACGAGCCCCACTATTACTTTTGGCAGGAATTAAAGCAGATATTGAAAGGCTAAAGCAAATATTAAATATTTCACATGCTCACACAGAGATACATAAAAAAATAGGTGAGATCATTGCTATTGAAGGCTTAACATTAATCTTTACTTTTAAACAATTTAGGATAGGAAATCAATTCAGGTTGCACTGCAAGGAAGAAATATTAACTGGTCTACCAGTTGAGCATTGTATTGTTATTACTATAGAGTATTTTTGGATTAGATGTAATTGCTACTGAAGTTAATCATTTATTATACACACACTTAGATTTCTTCTCATCAGCATACCATCTGCATTTAAGGGTGCTCTAATGCCATGCTACTCAAAATGTGGTCAATGGACCAGCAGCATCCAAATCACTTGAGACCTAGAAATGGAGAATCTTGGATCTACTGAATCAGAATCTGTATTTAACAAAATCACCAGGTTATCTTATGCATCTGAAATATTGAGGAACATTGTTCTAATGTGTCAGTGCTTAGATTCATCAGGAATAGGAAGAAAATAAATAACATTAACTACCAAATTCTTTTTTTTTACTTAGCTACACTGAGAATAATTAACTGCCACATTTTAAATACATTATTAATATATTTTAAAAATAGATATCTAGAACCTATTAATATTTGAATATTTGTGTGAATTTTTTATTTAGCATTTTAAAAATTATATGCAATATTTTCCACCTAGCTCAATGTTTTGGCAGAGCTTTGTTAGTATAGGCATTAGACATCATTTGGGCTGAGCACAGTGGTTCACGCCTGTAATCCCAGCTCTTGGGGAGGTCAAAGTGGGAGGATCATTTGAGCCCAGGAATTTAAGACCAGACCGGACAACATAGTGGAACCCCATTAATACAAAAAACAAAAAAACAACAAAGAAAAAGGAATCATTTTGTATTACTTTAATAGTAGTAAAACTCATTTGATTTAAAGAGAATTTTTTTAAAGAACTATATTGTTTACACTTAGCACAGACAGCCACTAAATAAGGTTGTGCAGTGCTCAAGGAGGGGACTATGGGCAGCTTTGTCACATCTATACCTACACTGGCTCATAGCTAGAATGTAAGCACTATAAGTACAGGGATCTCTTTTCTCCATATACATTAATGATAGAATACTGCCAGGCAAATAGTAGTTCAATAAATATCACTGAAACTTTTTTTTTCTTTGTATGTGAAGAGTCACAGATGACATTGTAAAATGATACAGGAAGGCAGCACACATTAAAAAAATAAATCAATGGGAATGATACTTTGCATAACTTATATTTTTAAAACTCAGATGCTTTGCTTTGACTTGAGCAAATCCTATTAATCACATTAATTACAGTTTCACAGATGAGGAGATGGAGACTGTAGTTAAATGACTTGAGTATCATATGTCTTGACTATAATATGCCTTGATTGTAACATAACATACAAACTAGAATGTGTTGACACTAATATTTCTTTTTCTTTCTTTCTGTTTTTTTTTTTTTTTTTTTGAGACGGAGTCTTGCTTTGTCGCCCAGGCTGGAGTGCAGTGGTGAGATCTCAGCTCACTGCAACCTTTGCCTCCTGGGTTCAAGCAATTCTCCTGCCTCAGCCTCCAGAGTAGCTGGGATTATAGGTGCCCGCCACCACACTGGGCTAATTTTTTGTATTTTTAGTAGAGATGGGGTTTTGCCGTGTTAGCCAGGCTGGTCACGAACTCCTGACCTCAGGTGATGCGCCCGCCTCGGCCTCCCAAAATGTTGGGATTACAGGCGTGAGCCACCGTGGCCAGCCTAATATTCCATTTTTATGAATACTTTACATCTTCTCCCTTTAGTGAGAGTTGCGATAATTAGCCTATTTGCAAGATAGCAGGGAGGATTAAGTGTATATACTGTAATTGAGAAAAACATACTCATGGCTCATCCATGTTAATGGCTTGCCCTTGTTTCCATCATCTTCTGTCTGATTATTGTACTCTAGAGGCAACCAGGTATTCAAGTGTGTGGCAACTGTGGCCTTCGATGTGTATTTGGAGTCAGTCTGTACCTTGACCTTGATTACTCTAAATGAGGAGAAAGCTATGACTTAATGGCAAGTACATTGGCCTGAAAATTAAAGACCTGGGTCTAATTACCCTGATAATTGAAGATCTGGCTTACATCCCAGTTCTGTTACTGATGCTGCATTGAATTTAGTCTTTTCACTTAATCTTTTTCACCATTGTTTCTTTTTTGATGGAATGAGGAAAATTCTAGCTACCTTACATGGTTATTGTTATTAAATTTGAATGAAACTCATTTGAGGTATATTCTTTTAGGAAGACTGATGAAAACAGAATTTCCAAAGTCCCTAGGTGTTGAAAACGCTTTTCTTTATCATTGATATGTAGTGAATTTTCTCGTTTGTTCTCTTGCTTCGTATATTGGTTTTGAAAAGCCTGCTGCTAATCTGATTATCTCATCTTAGTAAATTATTTGCCACTTTTGCCGGGAGGCCTTGATGATTTTATCTTTAACTTTGAAATCTAATTGTTTTAATAGGATATGTTTCAGAGTAATTTTCTGAGTTAATTTTCCTCAGGTGAACCTTTTTAAGTTTAGATTGTTGTCTTGTTCTTTCTCTGAAAGGCTTCCTTAAGCTTTACACTTGTAAACATTAGCTTTGTTGCATTGTTTTATTTTTCTTACATCAAGTTAATATTTTATAATTTAAATACTAGTTCTTTTTGCCTGTCTTCCATTTCCATTACTTTCTCTCTGACCCTTTTACTTTTTTATATCTTTTTCGTTTTTAGGGGCTTCTTTCTTGCCTTTCTTCAATGAGGCTTTGTGAATTTTCATTCGAGTTTTTTCTCATTTGGACATTTTATAATGTATTCTTCATTTCAGTGATAATTTTGTTTTTTTCTTCTATTTCTTTCCTGAGGTCAATCAGCTCTTTTCCATTTGTCCGTTTTTTCCACTTTTGTTTGTAAATTTTGAATTTCTGATTCGATAGTTTTTAAAAATATCATGTGTCTTATTTGCGTATATTTAATCCTGCATTGTGTTTTAACTTAATTTTCTTCTGCTTTGTGGTTGCTTTGTATGAAGGAATTATCAGTTGGTATGTGTGGAATTTAGCTTCCTACTTTTCTGCAACAGCTGTGTAAGGACTTTTCTTCACTTTTATCTACTGGGGTTTTATACAACAGTGCTAGTTTAGTTGTTCCTTCTTCTTTCAATATAGCAAATCTAGGTACTTTAGAGGATCTTTGTTATGGTAGTGGGGAAAGGATTGTTAACCCTCCAGTTTTATGATTTGCATTTTATCTTGCAAGACCCTAAATTTTATTTTCTTATTGTCTCTTCTTTATCATCCAGTAGCCTGTACTTCTCTCACCATTTTTTCTCTTTTCTGTTTTCTAAGAGCTCATCTTTAAATTGCATCTACTGTATCTCTTTAAATCATGTCTGCCTTGAAAATTATGTTTGTCTCTTTAAAAGGGATGGGACCTTTTAAATTGTGCTTACTTAGAAATTTCTTTCCCGTTGTCCCTGCTCTGATCTGCACAGATATCTTTTCATTCTTTTCAGATATAAGGTGGATTTTATTTTTCTAGTTATTGTTGTAAGTCACTCCTTCTTTTGTTTTCCCCATTGTTTGCCTGTGAGTAGGGATGGGGCTGGGGGTTGCAGCAGGAGACATGATGCTCTGGGATTTCCTGATTTTCCTCTTTTCACTCATAGTTATGCAGTTTTGATATTCTCTATATAAGATATGCTTGAATAATTTACATAGAATTTAACTTTTAATTTAATTTACATAGTATTTAATTTTCCTAGTTTTTTCTTAAATGTAGAATTTGATTTTCTTTCTCTTTTTTCTTATTTGCAGGGGATATTATGGGAGATAAATAGTTATATTGTTGCCATTGCCCTCAGCTATCCTGAAAGTATTTTTAAAAAGTTTTTACTTGAAAAACTTGGCTTCTGTTGTTTTACTGCTTGACAACTTTGATTTACATTTTCTCAGATTTGTTTCTCTCATAAACTTTAGATTGAGTGCACAGTGTATTATTTTGTAGCATGATATACTGTATTTTATAACAACCTTAACGGCTAGCTCATTTAAGATAATATTCTAGCATGTTTATAAAACAAAATTAATCCATTGATGGATTATTTGCTTGTTCTGTAATTGAAATATTTGAAATATTTACCTTATGAAATCTCTAGATTGTCTCCACGAGAGTTAATTTTTCTTCAGAAATAATGAAATGCTATCTTAATTATAATGAGAAATATAATGGTGAGGACTTTGTGAACTGAATCATTCAAGTATAAAATATTTTAAATTATTTTTCCAGTTTTTGCATTATGTGAATTACTTTGGCATCTGATATTTTTGTAAATATTAATAAAATAAAAAAATTATCTTGCATAAAGTTGCTGACAAATAATTTCTTTGTATGGATGTTTCTGCAAGTGACAAAATCCATGAAAGAACTGAAAATGCAGTATAATTTCTATCATAACTTTTTTCAATCAACTTTTCATATCTAAATAATTTCAGAAAATTATAAAGGTACGTAAACTTATTATATCACAATTTTGTTTTAAATATTTTAGATACTGTTTTGCAATATAGTGGCTTTCTTTTATAATCCTAGGTATTTTATTTTATGCATGCAAACACATAATTCTAAGAATGGGTCCATAGGTTTTACAAAACTAACAAATGAGTGTAGGTCATGAAAATGTTTAAGAACCCCTTCCCTAGAATATAGTCCTAAGGAAGACAGGGATTCACTGATGCAGCCTAAGTGCCTGAAACATTCTCTGGAATATAGGAGGCTCTCAGTGCATATATTCTAGATTAAACTCAGACTTTCCTAGCAAAATCTTTAGTGACTTTTTTATGTGATAAAATACCCTGTTGTAAGCTCTCATAAGACCAAATACTGCTCATTTTTAGCTCTTGTGGCAATTACACGTTTACATTCATTGTTATTATAATTTGATTGTGAGCCACTGGAATACAGACTCTAATTGGGTAGGGATCTTACCACTTTTGCATGCATTTTCTGAGCCCCACACAGAGTCTGGCAAATAAATGTTTGTTGAATGAACTATAAATTATATTGAGACACAAAATAAGTAAGATTTACTTTCTGTCTCAAAGTTTTGTAGGGACTGTGAGAACTGTAAAATATTGTAGCAAAAGGTAGTACCCCAGCAAACAATCATCCAACCGACTGGCTAAATGAATAAATAAAACTTATAAGAAAGTACAAATACATTGTTATGGGAATTGAAGGTATTAAGTGATCACTTTTTGTGTAGAGGTCAGTGTGTGGTTTATATAAGTAGTAGTAATTTACTTGAATGTAGAAGGAGAGGTTGGATTTCTAACACATTTATAGAGACCCTTCTATTCTAAGAAAGGGGAATAAAAGCAAAAGCATGGAAATGGCAAGAAACAGGGCAATTTCAGACACTGACCATAAGTTATCTATAAGGAACGGAGCAAATTAGTTTGTGCAGTTAGATTTTGAGTAATTTCAGTATAAACCTGGGTGCTAAGGCAAGGTTTTGGACTAAGCTTCTTTGGTAGCTAATGCTACCCTGTTTACAGTTTTTGAAAAGTGAAATATTCAATGCAAACTATTAGGGAGATTCAACTTAACATAGAAAAATAATACTGTGAAATAGATTTTTCTAGTAAAATAAGTATAAAACACATATTTCAGATTAATAAGAGTTCTTAAATTCAATAACATATTTTGTGTTTATTAAAAACACCATAGATAAATTTTGTGTGGATACAGAGAAATAAAACTAGATAAGGCCTATTATAAAAATTTTACCTCTAAGAGGTAAGATCTGCATTTTTACTTATGTCATGTGTGGATAATGGGATTAATACTCAATTTATCTCCAGAGGAAGGTCAGCATGCCTGTTCAATAGCATTATATATTTCAAAACTGTAATAGACAACAGCAGAACCTTTGCTTGCAAATTATTTTATTTTTATGTAGTTAATATTTTGATGACATGAGAGAAAATGCCCATGGAGAAGAGACCAAAGAAAGCCACTTCCACTTAATTGATATATTTGTATTAATTTCTAGATTTAAATCTAGGTGTGAGGTTACAGAGTAACATGGCAGAGAGCTTAGGAAATCATGGACTTTCAGCCAGACCTGGGTTTCAACACCTACTGGGTTGCTTCCCAGCTCTTGAGTCTTAGGCAAGTTGCATAACTAATAAGAGCTTTAGTTTCCATATATGTAAAGCAAAAACAACAAAAATGGGAATCACATGACATGATGCATAGTGCATAGCACAGTGGTTGTTTAGTAAGCAATCAATAAAATTGTTTTATGATTAAAATATTATGATCATGCATGATAGAGGTCCAAACTATGAAATACTCCTCTCTTTATTTTCTAAAATCCTACATTTAAAATTTTCACTAAGTTCACTATTTGAAATTCCACCATTTATTGATTCATTAGGTAAGAAAATTTCTTTGCTACTGTAACCATTAGACAGTTGTAGATACTGGCTTTACTTCTTTCATCCTGGCCTGATGCTGTGGCTAGGCAAGTAAAGAAGAAAATGAAGAGGGTAAAAAGAAAGTAATTGGAAGAAAAGGATGTAGAAATTGCTGAGTATCAAAGCAAGAAGACAGAGAACGACATGAGTAAAATAAAGACATTGAAGAAAGTCTGAGAAAAAAGCCAAATGTAAGAGAGAATGAATACTCTCTCTACCATTCGCTACTGCTCATTAAGATTATAATAATAACAGTGTTGATAAGTTAAATTTTTTGCCTTCAAAGTCAGCTTTTCTCTGCCTTGCTACAAGATACTGAGAAAATGTGGAGAGCCCCGATTTAGCTGTTGGCCTTCAAATCTTATCCCAAACTCTATAAAGTGACTGATCTGGAGCAAGTTACTTAACAACTATGAATGTGAGTTTACCAATTTGTAACACGGTGAAAGTTAGCAAAGGAATTAAATCCAGGAATGACACATAGCAAACTATACCACTATACCACACACAGGAAGTCTTCTTTATATGTTAGCTGCTATGTATAAATATATGTAGTGTTCTCTCCTGTTCTCTCTCACTCTCTCTCAATATATGTATATAGCAGCTAATATCTGTATGCATATATATTTGATTTATAAATGTTATGATGTTATGTTATTTATAAATGTTATGATGTTATGTTTGAAAATAGTTTGAAACTGTTTTCAAAACTGGCACTTTTATTTTGTGGATACAAATAAATGTTTTTCTGTCATCCTACTGCCACAAATTCTTTTCCTGAAAATGGTTTAAAATGTATTCAACAACAGCATTATATATCTAATGAAACTTGTCACTTAATTTCTTCAAGTTCTTCATTCCATATTATTTATTTCTTAAAAATTTGAGAATCAGATACTTATCAATTTACTTTTTAGTTTAGTATGATTTCATAAAATTGTAACATTTATAAATTATTATATAATTTGCTTAGTAATAGTCATACGACTCAATATTTCAATCAGATTTTATAACAATTTGTTTGAAACTTTGAATTGTGATAAAAGAACTTTTCAGAGATAAATTCAGATTAAAAAGCAAAAAAATTTAAAAGCCTTTTGATGGGGAGTACCAGTTACTTGTCCAAATTGAGAGAAAAAGAAACAGTCATCAAAATGACCAAGAGTAATATAGCCTCAGATTTCTCTTTGTTACCTGATGACACTATTTAAGATGGACTGTCAGATCCCATTAGGTTTGCGGATAATATTCTGCAGATGAGATGAAAATGGAGTTTTCGCTCAGCAGGAGGAAAGTGAGAAGTACACTTATTCTAGTCAGGCTCAGAGATGTTATTCTTTTTCTGTTGTTGCTATGGGATAACATTGCATCAATAACAGGAAAGCGATCCAACTAAGCTTCATGCACCGCAATCAAGTTGTTTTGATGCAAATAAGGTTCAGTCACTTAGGGTACTCAGTTATGACAAACTGTGCTAACAAACTATAAATCAAACCTGAGCTGAATTGCAAGTGTATATGCTAGATAAAAAAGAGGAAAAGCTTTTATCTTTTAGTAGACTTAAGAGTTATTTTGAATAACTATAAAGACCTTTACAATATTTACTGCAAAATTAAAGTATAAATGTTGTTGTTGATAATTTTTAAAAGTCAATTTTTATTGTCCCAGAAATCCTAATGGAGTTTTTATTAAAACAATATTATGAGACAAGTAAGCCTATGTTATATTTGGGATAGTATGTTTTTCTAGCATACATAAACAAACCTCTGATCATAGCTCTTTTTCCCTTTCATTTTGAAATTGTAGTTGGTCTGGAGAATGAGGAAAAGGAATTTACTAAAATTATTTGCTCTTTAAAAAGTTATGCTTATGTATTATACATATTCACATTTAATTCAAAATCCTTATTTTTTAAAATTTTATTCATAGAAACATTGGCATTTAGGGCCCATATATTTACCTGACTGACATTTGCTGGTAATACATGTCTGTCAAACTAAAGTATTAGAAACTGAATAGATTTTGAACTAGGAGTTCACATGCAATTGCCCATGTTTCATACTGTTGTATCATTTGTTCACATTTCCTTTAGTGGTTGTGGAATAGAAATTATAATAGCCATATATAGAGAGACCTTACATGGAGCCGAAAGAATATATATCAACCTAAAAACACACTGAGTTACTATAAGAATCTTAGCCATGTGTATCTAAATTTTCATTTTTCACTGCCAGGTGCAATTTGAGAATGAATCTTTCCTACATAAGAAGACATTGTAAATATGCAGGTGGGCCCTAAATCCTGCATTTGTAGAGCAGTCATACTGTGCTAGCTTGTAGTCATAAATGTTTCTAGATCAGAATTAGATTTGGAAATTTAGCAACCAATGAAAATAAGCATTTCAAAACCTTGTGGGTGATTGTTTTTTGTTTGTTTTTAATTAAGTCTGAAGAGAGTGCACAGAATGTCACACAGTAAATAGATGCTGTCATCTTTCATTACCAGGCACCCCATGACAGAGTCCATTGCAGCAGAGCTGAGGACCTTCATATCACAAAATGAGTTTGCTTATCAGGCATAGAGTGAAATGTTTCTGTATCTCACAAGAATGTCTGATATTATGCTTCTTTAACTGCACCTGTAAGCCTGTTCACTGCAATTTAAAGACAGTATCATATGTAACTTGAAGTCATTTTCAACTGGCCATTTGCTCACTCTTAGAATGAGTTTTCTAATTAATAAATATTTTTGAAGACATGGTGAATAATTGGTCAGATATAGTTAGGATTAGTATTAAACCCTCGGATCTGAAATTGTGATGAAAGGGTCTGAGATTTCACCCTGCATCTCAGCTAATGAGTGAGCCTGTCACAGTTTTACAGATATTGACAGAAAGATATGAGGCATCTGTGTCAGAGACAAGAGTTTCTTCCAGTAAAAGCAGCAGTCGAAGTAACATTGTAATGCTGTTCCCTGAGCCCCAATTCCCAGGGGACTACCGGATGAGGGCCAGGTGATGCCTGCACGTGTGAGGGGTATACTACAGAAGAACCGTGAGATTAGAAGACTGTTTTTTATAGAAGCTATTGGAATCCTTTGTCGTGGAGAAAAACGTTATCTTTATTACCCTGTGCAAAATTAGGAAACAGTCCAGAGGATCATCCTCACATTTGAGCTCAGTTGTAAGTCCAGGTGTCCCCCAAACCACCTTAAGTATTTATAATTCACTGCCTGGATGAATAGAACTCACTGAAAGCTGTTATATGCGTGGTTATGACTTATTATGTCAAAAGAATACAGATTAAAATCAGCCAAAGGAAGAGATGCATGTGGCAGAGTCTAGGAAAGTTCCTAGCGTGAAACTTCTGATTCTCCTCTCCCAGTGGAGTTACGGACAACACTGATTTTCTCTGCAACCCTGCATGATAATATGGATGGAGTATTGACAAACCCCAGAAGCTCATCAAAGCTTTGGTGTCCAGAGTTTCTGTGGAGGCTCTGTTATGTAATCATGGTCTACTGCCCGTATGGCTAGTCTTAGTCTACAGCCCCTCCAGTGTGTGAGCTGAAATTGTGACTGAAGAACTCCACCCCAAATGACATCTGGTGTGACATTTTCTACCCTAATTCCTATTGTTAGAGTATCTGGTATGATCCAAGTCCCTCAGGCAAGCAAAGGCACTCCCATAAGTGCCTTTTATGAAATTCCAAAGGCTTAGAGACCTAGCAAAAGCCAAGGAAAAAGACAAGACATGAATTTGGGCGATGTTAAATTATTTATTACAATTCTTAGAATGTAAGCAGATCTCTCTGGGGAGGGGAACAAGATGTGTTTATTTTTATCATCTCTGTCTTTCCAGAGCTTTCTGCTTATACAAATATTTCTGAAAAAAATAGTCCTGGAGCAAATTGGCTGTTAATGTCTAGATGTGTAGATTCATGGAGAAAAGCCTGCCAACAATTAGCTAGTGCTTTGCATTTGATAAAACTCATCTTTTGAGATTCCCTCTTTCAAATTTCTGGCTCTTTGGGTGGACTAAAGAGCACTTCTTTTCAAGCTGTATTTATTAAACCTAGAGAAAGTGATCACACTACTTTTAGTAGCTTTTATGTTGGTAACAGAGGAAGTCTTTCGACATTGGGAAGGTTTTTTACTTCCCTCATGCATACATATATGTGACTTGACCAAATTTAGAAGGTTTTTGAAGGGAACAGAAATCACAGATTACCTGCAAGCAAGCAATTTCATGAGATGGCACCACTGAAATTTATTTCAATTTTTTCCCTCCTAAAAACAAGGCGATTTTCTTCAATGACTATAAGGTTAACAAAACCTAACCATGATTTATAATTTAAATATATAATTTCATGTGTTTCTTAAAATGATATTCCATTGCTGAGAGTGACAGTCTCCTCTCTGCCTCGAAACCCTAATAGTTGGAAAGGAGAGGACAGGTACTCTGCTTTCTAATCCTCCTGCCTTCAATCATTACTCCTCATTCCTATTAATACACTTATATTTTTAGCCATGACTATTCCTCACCCTGCCCCTCCCAAATTCACTTTCCCTTTAGATACTTTCATGGATCCAAAAGGAAAAGCGATGCTTCTTTTTATCCATTTGGTTCAAGCATGAATATCTTTCCTTGATATCTCATAGTAAACTTCGGAACATTTAAAAAGATTTTTGTAAAAGCTAGGATAACTTTTTCAAACTATTTTCCCTAAAACATAGTTTCCTTTAAAACAAGAATTTCACTGTCAAATACATTTGGAAAGTGTTGTAAACAATATTTTCCTCTAGGGAAATTCAAAATACACATTATGCCTAAAAGGCTGTAACAAAATCCTGCAGCAAAATTTAGACAGAGGAACAACAATAGGTAAAATAAATACAGAGTACAGCATGCAACCAACACAGTTTCTTATAAGATATAGTTTGTCCCTTATGGCATCAGATGTGAGTTTCAAGGGCTGCCTTTTATGTGAAAGAGTCATTTCTTAGCCTTCACACCCAGAAGCATTGGCTGAAATAGTTTGACAGCTTAAGGTCTAGACCTAAGAAAGTGAAGCTCATTGAAAGAGGTTATTTCCTCTCCTGCTTACCTAATACTTTTCTTCTAAGTTTTTTCCTTTTCTCTGTGGATACTGGTATGACTAAATCTACCTGGGAAGAGTAAGTCCTCAGGCTATGGCTTCGCTCTGTGACCACAAAGGACTGCCAAATTCAGTGTAAGACAATGACTTAATAATTCTTAGATAAAATGTGGTAACTAGAGCAAACAGGAAGTAGTGGAGCTAACAGTGTTATATTTCATTGTGTGCAGTTGATATTTCATAGGTATAGCTTCTGCATATCCCAGGGATCAGAGATATGCTCTGCCCTGAATAATGGCTGAATTAATTGTTTATTTTCCTAGATATGACTTAGTATGTTTGACTATGCATTAGTATGCTAATGGTGTATGTATAGAACAACTAAAGTCAAAGTGAGGCAATTTAGTAGAAAATAATTTCAATTCCTTATTTATGACAAAATTTAAGTCACATTTTAACTCAGAAAATGAGTGACTTTTAATAAAAAAAATTTCCTATAAAAGATACTGATTTTCTTTTTACTGGAAACAATATTTTTCAACATTGTGTTCTTTCTTCGAGAGCTTAGCATCCCCTAAATATGAGAATCATCTACTTAAGGAACTTGAAATTCCTGAGAAGACACAAAACATGTATATATAAATATACTACAATACATCAGCAAATAGTCATTCTTTTTCAGGTTTACCTTATTTTTTATTCATTATCAAATCTGCTTTTAACTTTTTATCAGAAGCAGAACACTAGATTTAAAGGCTTTCCAAAGCCTAATGAGTAAGTCCAGTGTTCTCTCTGTGAATATTGCATACTTAAGGCTGTCATGTTTTGATTAAGCATAAGCTTTAATAGATTTGCTGGAATAATTATTAAAATATTTGAAGACCTACATTTCATACTGGAAAGGTCAGAAAGATAAAACATACATTAGCGGATAAATTCATATGAGATAAGTTTTAGAAAAATTAATTTCATGGTATTTATGACTTTTTGGAGTGATAGTTTGTTGATGCCTATTGTTAATGCCAATACAATGTGACACAATTAAATAAAATAAAATAAAAAAAAGAAAAAAAAAGGTGAAGAATAGTTGTGTATTTTATAAAGATTTTTTTAATCTTTATACTCTTGATTTACTCTTTTGAAACTGTTTCTATTAGAAATGCCTGATGCCACATTTTTAAACAAAGTGTCTATTTCTTCACAATTTGTATCCAGGAAAACATCATTTCTATTAATATGCCAGTGCCAGAGAGAAACATATTAATACACTTTCACTTTCATTTTTATACTGACATTTTATTTTTAGTCTTGCAGTCTAATTTTTTTTTCTACCTGAACTGTCTTATGGACTAGGTAAACTTAAACACGTATCATTCCTGAGAAAGGAGAAAAAAATGAAAACATACTCTATGTCTTATCCTTTCAAAAACTTTAAAAGTTGGAATTCTGAATTCGAGAAAGCATTCAGAAAATAACATTCTAAGGAAAATATCCTAGTTCTTTCTCTAAAATACACCTCTGCTAAATATTATCAGATATATTTTCACTGATCTTAACTTCGAAAATGATTTCAAATTAAGGATGACTTGCTAGACATAAGATAATTTGGCTCTAATTTTTTTGTACCTTTACAAATTGACTTCAATTCAGAGGAAAATGATTTGTGAAAAGTCTACTTTATGCCATTTGATTTATATAACAGTGGCAAAATATGCCTAACTGGTATGTGAGTAAAAGATATATTTGCTAAGTTATTATTTGCTAAACAAATCTCCAAATAAATAGGGCCATCTTTTAGAAAACGTATAATTGATGTTTTAGCTAAAATTTTACTCAAATGAGGTAATGAGCAAGGCTAAGCCTCACGTTGGTATTGAGTGTGTATTCTTACATCTCTGAAAGTGAGGAATGGACAAGGGCAATCATTCTGGGATGCTATTTGCATTATAGACCAGAAAAAAAAAATTATAATGACTTTTAAGAGGGCCAAGTCTGGATTTGTTAGAAAACAAAACTCTGGTAGTGTGTAGGACTCTTACGCAGCTAAAGGAAAAGTAAGGTGGATTAATTTATTAGCAGTCACTTGCTCCACTCCAGGTTCAGGCTTCAACAGTACATCCCAATCAGCCCTTTAAAGTGCCCCTTATCTGTGCACCACTCATCCTTCAGCCCCACATTCAATCTTTAGGGCCTACTTGTCTGTTGCACATGAGCATACACACACATATCCCAGCTGGCACAAGTAATGTTATCTTCACTGACAATTTCAAAGGACGCAAGGAAAGGGGAGCCTGGCACCTGGGTAGAGCCTCTGGGACTCATGACTCCGAGGGTGGCTAGAGAACAGATACACCAAACATCGTGAAGGTGCCTAGAAACTCTAAGACTCTAGGTCCTTGGATTGTAGGGCTTCAGCCTAGTATGACGTGTCTCCTAGTGAGTGGTAGGACCTGGGAAACTCCTATTGGTATTTGTGTCATGCTAAGCAGAATTGACTTAGAAAAGTTAGTTACAATAACATCTTATAAGCAAGGTTTATCATTTAAAGATATATATATATATATATATATACACACACACACAGACATATATACACACACATACACACACATACTAGCATATTCTTTATCAATAAGTGATTACTCTGTACTATTTTCAAACTTCAGAATATCAAAGTTCAAAAGAATCGTTTGAAAGAGTGAGGGTAAGAGGTTTTAATATGTAGTTTTCTGAGCCTTGTTCTTAGACTCTGAATCAAGATTGAGTTGGTTTGTTCTGGAAACCAAGAATTTGCTAGCCAAACAAACATCCATGCTGGATTGAATAACAACAGTCTTAGGAACACACTTTACAAAGCATGACCCCACTGTAATTGTACCTATCAACATTTATTTTGCAGTATATAATATGTGATGCCCAACCACAATAGTGTGAGCATTTTTCACTAATCATCCACTGCTGTTTCCTTCACTGCATTCTTTCTGTAATGCTTCATTTAACAAATGTTAGTTGGCCATGATTTAGCAAAACATGATGTCTACCCATTAATAACCTGTATCATAATATGAGAACATTTCATTCACTTAATGTTTGCTAAGTGTCTATAATACAGAAAGATTTACAGTGAAACTCCTCTTTCAACAAACTTTATCAGGAAAATTGTCACATCTAGAAACACTCACAAGAAAATGAAGAAAGTAAGAAGTGCCATAAGAGAAGTCACGATAAAAGTTTTTCCCAGAAGGGGATTGCTTTAAGCTTAGGGTAGTCATGAAAATAGAGTATTTCAGGTGATCATTCATGGCACTGTTTAAATATGAGTCAGGCTGTGAAACTCAGGGCAAGGAGAGAAGCAGTGGCAGATGAAGGGAAGGTTTAGGGTATGCACAGGGAACTGTGTACCATATGCGTATATAGAACACATTTGGATATCACATAGGATAAGTGAATAGCAATAAGGTAAATTTGGAGCTTGGTAAGAGAACCTTTTGAATGCCAAATAAATAAATAAGGACTATAAGCCTTACTGTGTAGATGAGGAAATGCCAGTAAGGGTTGGGGTACCAGGGCAGTATATCATGAAGATGTTCCAGGTAAGTTTGTGATGAGTTGAAGTGAAGGAAACTGTTCTATAGGAGACCACAGAGACTAGATAAGATGTAAAAATGCCTGAATTTAAGTACATAATAAAAGGAAAATAATGTAAGGAAAATTTAAACAATTATATTGAATAAGTCTTGGTAACTACTGGACATGGGGGAAAGGAAAGAGTCAAAAAACAATGCCCAGAATTTGAAAGCTGGGCAACTAAGATTATTGTGGTGACAAGAACAAAAAAAAATTCTTTTATTATTATCAAAACCTTGCATTAGATCCTTTGTAAATATTTAAATTAATCTTCCTCCCATCTTAGAATTTGGAAAGCAGGGAAGGGGGTCCCAGGGGAAGAGTAGCCAGTGGACAGTTGAGGAGAGCAAGGGGTAGTTATAAAGAGATTCTTGATATGTCTTCCTGTATCACAGGGCGTGCTAAACTTTCTTTTTCAAGGGCGGATGTGTGTGTGTTTACAGCATACTCAAAGTAATGTTTACCCTTGAAGCACATTATTTATTGATATATTTACATTTATTGAACATGGAAATTCTCTAAGAGGAAAATAAATAACTTAGGTACTTGACTTTCATGAAATTTATTTTCTTTATTTACTTAGTAATCCTATTAGTTCCTGTTTTGTTTGAGATTCTATAGTATTGTTTCATTTAGCCAAATATTTCAAGACAACTTTTTGGCAGAAGAACTTTTCATTTATTTGCATTTCTTTCACAATTTTATTTTCTAATCCATTTAAACTATCACAAATTAATATAGAAAAATATATTATTGAGGCAAACAAGTTTTTGTGAAATAAATTGAAACCCAAAAGGATGAAGAATGTCATTGACATAAAAGTGTAATTGTTCTTCAATGTAACCTTACAAGTATAGATATAATATATCATAATTGAAAAAGAAGGAAGAGGGAAAACTAACATCCAAACCACTTGAATGAAGTAAGTTTTTACACAGCAAAAATATATACGACTTTTATTTGTCAAGTATACTTTAATAATGCTGGGGGTGGGTGGAATTAATTAGCAGTAAGTTGGGGGGAAAAGTAGATTACGTGGTGGCCATTGTAGTAGTTGAGAGCCCTTCATAAATGATTGTTAACATCGTTCTAGTTGCAAATATTATCTGAATATGAAATTCATGCTACCGTCATTCTGAATACTTTTATTCTTGAGTTTATTTTATTAAGACATTAATATTGTTTTCATGATCATCATCATAAGTGTGACCATCTCCCCTCTATTCTACCTAGCACTATTTTTCTTCTAGGAAGTGCATGTGGTGTTTCAGCATATTTTACATTACTTTGGTTACAATTAAGTGAAATTTTATGTCATAAATTTATATAGTTTAGAAGCTTAGTTTATAAGATCTTGCTATGGCTTTCTATTTCTGGGAATGATGTTTCTGACAAAAATGTGTGATAGAATGCATGATAGTTATCCATTTCATTCCCTATGGCTCTTAGTGTAAAGTCCAAATCTCTTCACATGTTTTATAAAAGCCAGTAAGATCTGGTACCTGCTTTTTACTCATGCATAGTTTTTCTCCCTCATATTTCATATTTTGCCCTCCAGTTTTACTAAATTTTAGTTTGTTCCCTGAAAATGACTCTGGTTCTTGCTTGCAGGCCTCAGAGCGCACTTTTCTATCAGCCACAGTACTTTCTTCTATGCCCAGCCTTCCCCTTCCCATCTTTTGCTTGGCACCTAAGCATTTTTCATGTCTCAATTGGTCCCCTGTGCATCCTTTAGGTTTCACTTTCTCTGGAGAGGCTTATGAATAGCCCCCAAATACAATGGGTGGACCTCAACTCTATATCCAAAGAATTTTGTGCTTCTATTTTCATTTCCCATGAAAATATACAAAATACTTCATTAAAAAATATAATTCTCTCTCTCTCTCTCTCTCTCTCTCTCTATATATATATATATATATATGTAATTACCTGTATTCTTGTCTCTTATCCCCACTAGACCCTAAGCCTTGTAAGGACAGTCTTTGTCTATCTTATTTTCCCTTTGTCTTAGTCTGTTCATGCTGCTGTGACAAAATATCTGAAGACTGGGTAACTTTTAAAGAGCAGACATTGATTTTCTCATAGCTCCAGAGGCTGGAAGTGCAGGACCAAAGTGCTGGCAGGTTTGGTTGTCTGCTGAGGGCTATTCTCTGTTTTCAAAGTGGCACCTTGATGTTGCATCCTCTGGAGGGAAGGAAATCTGTGTCCCCACATGGAGAAAGGCAGAAGGGAAAGGGAGCTGGACTCAGCATTAAAGCTCTTTTATAAAGACCTTAGCCCCATTCACAAGGGAGGAGAGCTCATGGCTTAATTGCTTCTTAAAGGCCCCACGACTTAATATTAATACTATCACATTGGCCATTAAGTTTCAACACCTGAATTTTGTAGGGGACACATTGAAATCATAGCACCATTGTATCCTCAGCATTTAAGCATAGTGGAGGTACATGTTAGTTGATGATTGTTGAATGAATCAATTGATGATTTTCTTTTTTATGGTTAAACTAATGTGGTATATACTAGACTCATATTCCAACACAAACATTCATAAAGATTAAAATATAAAAATATTAGATTGTAGAAATATGATATAAATTTGAATAACATTTTTAGAACAAATTTTCAACAAGAACTATGCTTTATACTGTGCTACACACTTAGCTTTTTTAGATTTTATTTTTATCTTTTTTACCCAGGCTGGAGTGCAGAGGCGCAATTTCAGCTCACTGCAACCTCCACTTCCCGGGCTCAAGCGATTCTCCCACCTCAGCCTCCCATGTAGCTGGGACCATAAGCATAACACTACACCTGGCTAATTTTTTGTATTTTTGATGGAAATGGGTTTTTGCCGTGTTGCCCAGGCTGATCTTGAACTCCTGAGCTCAAACAATCCACCCAATTCAGCTTCCCAAAGTGCTGGGATTATAGGCATGAGCCACTGCGCACAGCCCACAATTAAGCTTTTCAAAGCTTTTTGCGTACTAGTCTTGTAGAAATTATTTAACAGCTCTGATTTATTGATAATATCAAGGTGTATTGTAAGGTTAATTCTTTATTCTTAATATTGAGATAATGACCTATGCTCTTAAGTTTGTATTTAACTTAAAGAGTAATCTCTGAACCAGAGTGTTAGCTCTTAACAATTCATAAATGGTCACTAAATTAACCATTTTTTTTTTTTTTGAGACGGAGTCTCGCTCTGTCATCAGGCTGGAGTGCAGTGGTACAATCTCGGCTCACTGCAACCTCCACCTCCCGGGTTCAAGAGATTATCCTACCTCAGGCTGCCAGTAGCTGAGACTACAGGCACACACCACCACGCCTAGCTAATTTTTTTCATATTTTTAGTAGAGACGGGGTTTCACCCTGTTGGCCAGGATGGTCTCGATCTAACCTCGTGATCTACCTGCCTTGGCCCCACAAAGTGCTGGGATTACAGGCGTGAGCCATTGCACCTGGCCAACACTTTTTTTCAAATATAACTTTAATTAAATATTGGTGGTGTGCTAATGGTTTTTAATAAAGTGTTAATTGAATTGTGCTTCTCATCACAAAATATTTGTAAACTTCAAAGGTTCTTATGAAACTCATAGTAACTTTAAGAAGAAAGAAGTAAAAGCAGAAAAACTGATAAATTACTTAATATTATTTCCTGTTACATGCATTTTCTGGTTCTTGTTTTTAATAATTAGATACATATTATGGCTTTAATGCATTAGAACTATTAATCAGGTATCTCAAGGTGATCACGCCTGTGTCTTGCTAGTCATGCACTGCCCACAAGTGCTCAATAATATTTACTAACTTTACCAGGTTAACTACAAATGTGGGAAATAGTTAACTCATTCATTTTAATTGGTTATAAATAATCTTATTTTACTTTGTTATCTCAATATCTTTACTTGACGCTTACTCTGCACATTTATTAATTGAATACTCTATTAAAGAGAAAGTTATTGTACAGTGCAGAGTTGGATTTGCAGACAGGAGTTCAACTACTTATTAATTCATTTAAACCTTCTGAAATGCATTTTCTCATGTGTAAAATGATTTCAAAGTGCAATGAAAAAAGACTGTCTCAAGGAGATACTGTTTACTCACCAACTTATCAAATAGAATAACATAATTTAAAGCATTCTAAAACCAAAGAACTCTAGACGTACTAGGTATTATTACCAAAATTTGTATTTCTTTTCTACATATCACAATGTTCAACACAGAATTAGGGGTAAAAGCAGAAAATTGGAGAGAACACCATATAAATAATAAAGGAACTGGGTGCTGTGGCTCACACCTATAATCCCAGCACTTTGGTAGGCAGAAGTGGGAGGATTATTGAGCCCAGGAGTTTGAGACCAGCCTGGGCAACATAGAAAGACTCTGCCTTTACAAAAAAAACACGAATGAATTTGCTGGGCATGGTGGTATATGCATGTTGTCCTAGCTACTTGGACAGCTGAGGTGGGAAGATGGCTTGAGCCTAGGAGGTCGAAGCCTCAGGGAGCCATGGTTTTACCACTGCACTCCAGTCCAGCCTCGGCAACAGGGCAAAGCCCTGTCTCAAAAGAAAAAAAGAAAAAGAAGAAATGTTCAAATAAATGATGTTACACCCAAAATATGTGATAATATGTGATTCAATTTACCTTTAAATACCGAAAATATTTCATGAAATTAAAAACACTATCATAACAATTGAGGAGTATCAATTATATATGAGTACATCTGGATGCCTACATTGTTCCTCAGGTTTTGTGCATGAAGGACAGCTCATATATGAGATTATATTGCTATTATATTGCTACATACCAGCCAGCTAAATGCAATCCCCCAAGGACAGGAGCTAAAGTATAACGGAGAATATCCAAATTTTAAGGAAGTCTTTAAATGCATGCCAGTGTGTAAGGGAACTTATCTTTCTGTAAGTGAATGCTGTTTTACTTTTCTTAGCCCAGTAGCTAACAGATTTGACTTCTCATCATACCTCGTTTTTAAGGGAGATATCTGAGAAGTAAAATGTAATGCTGTTTATGCTACTGATCTTTTTAGCACCCAGGAGAGTAAGGAGGGCAGCACCTTCAAGTTAGTGAAGATGAGAAGAGAGCCAACTCTTAATGAAATATTTTCTTGAATCTGGCAGTAACACGAAGGATCTAAAAACTGATAAACACTTCGGTTACATCAAGGACTTTTATATTCCCTTCTTTATTATGCCAGATGTGAGCTGCCAACTTAACTAATTACCATGTTCTCAGTGGGAAGTTTGCTGTAATGCATTTTTTGCTCAAAAATATGTTAAACATAAAATTCATTTTTTTTTCATTTGGGGTCTTCATTTTCCAAAAAGGGAAATAATATATAAAGCTTTGAAAAGAAAACTACATAGTAGCATTTACATAGGAACGTTTCTTGATAAAATACAGATATACGACCCAGGAACAAGCCTGGCAAAAAATTTTTCCTGAGGGTTTTCAAGTTAGAAAACCCAGTAGTAGAATAAAATTATCCAAAGACACATGTTTTGGCAAACGGTAACTTACTTCTCTTTTATATTCTGTTAGAAAATATTCAGTTGCTTTTGTTGGTATTTAATATTTTGAGAATATCTAAATATAATAAAAAGATCCGCTTTCTTCATTTGCAAATGAGAATGTAAAGTTCATTATTTTGACCAGCAGTTTTTGCTATTTGTGATTAAATTCCTATAAGAACTTGTTTGATATGAGATTGTGCTCTTCTCAAATAACTCTTTAATTTTAATTTTACACCTTTGCAAGTGTCAGAATGATTTGAATATGAGAGAAAAGATAAAGGACACACAGAATAACTGTGTGTAAATGATGTGCCTTTATTATTGTTAAATACTAAATAGTAACTATTGTTTAAAGAAAATTAGTAGTCTTTGAATTCACAAATTGGAGACCTATTTACACTTCATTTGATAATAATTGCTAGCATAAGAAAGACATTATGTTCAATACATATCAATATACATAATTAAGAAGGAAATGATTTATATTCAAGGTCATGAACATCATACATCTTAGATTTCATAATAAAGACCACCAGTAACACAGCATTTTACTAGACACAGGAAGTTATTTTGCGTTACACTAAAATTTAAATATTCAAATTTATTTCCTAATATTTTACCAATTGGCATCCATAATGTAGACAGTTCAAGTTGTTATTAAATGCACACATGCAGTTAAATATAAATAAGGTATAAACAACAAAAATCTCCATCTACTATGTCAGGATGTTAAACCTTTCTTATGGAGGAAAAAAAAGTGTTTTGCTACACTTTGAGCTACTCATCTGGAAAATCAGGCTTATCCATTAGGCCCATGGATCACCATTGAATTACTCATCTGAATGTAGCCAAAAACTCATACTGGGAAAACAGTTTAAGAAGCTAATTAAACTGATAGAAAGAAAACTTTAATTTTAAAGAAATATAGAAAGCAGATGATTATTTATAATTTCAATTAAACTTCCTAGGCTCATATATGAAGAATAAAGTATTAAACAAGGAGAACAAGACCAATGCAAATATGAATTGTGGACATCAGGTCTTAGGATATATATACTAAAATACCTAGGCTTATTCAGTCAAAAAAATGTAACAGTTGACCCTTGGACAGTGTGGAGTGGCCGAACGCTTGTGCAGTCAAAAATCCACAGATAACTTTTGGCTCCACAAAAACTTTAACTACTTACAGCCTATTGTTGACTGGAAGACTTACTGATAACATAAACAATTGATTAACATATATTTTGTATGTTATATATATTATATACTGTATACTGTATTTTCACAATAAAGTAAGCTAGAGAAAAGAAAATATTATGAAAATAATAAGGAAGAGAAATATATTTATTCATTACGTGGAAGTGGATCATCATAAAGGTTTTCTTGTGGTTTATAGGCTGAGGAAGAGGAAGAAGAGGAGGGTTTGGTCTTGCTGTCTCAGGGGTGGCAGAGACATATAAGTGGACTTGCTCAATTCAAACTTACACTGTTCAAGGAACAACTGTATATCTATATGTGTATATATATATATATATGGACATATAAATGTATATACATTTAAGAATTTCAGTGAATTAATCAGAAGAGACTCCCTTCTTTATTAGCAAACATAAATAAAAATAGATACAGGTACCAACATTCAATAACAACTTGTTTTTTTGATATATAATTTATTTATATCTACTTATTGAAAAGTATGCAATATATGCTCTGTTTATTTTCTTTCTTCTCTCACTATATTAATTGTATCCCTTCCCACCCCCTTGAAATAATCTAGATTTATAACTTCCAGTGTTTCATAGAGATATACTAAAAGTTTTATGAGATTATTCTGGAGTTACCATCTGTAATTTTCAAAAGTAAACTAAAATTGCTCAGCGGATAATACCTGTATTCCATTTGGAATATCATTATTTGTGCATAGTTGCTTATTAATCATTATCTTGGAATCAGAATAATTGATCGATACAGCAAAGATTTTTGTAAATATCAGCAGTCTTTGGAGAATGGAGAGTTAGGAAATTTGAAGATTCCAAATAAGTCATATTAACAGATGATTATGTTCCTACTAATAATTGTATTACTAGTAGAACAAATTGGCCTCATTCATCTTTATTTTTGTTAGCTGTTTAGGAGCATTAGACTGGTGGGTACACTTTTGTCTTTACTAGTACTAACTAGCAAAAGGCTGTTTTCAATCTTTTTAAATAAATATCTATTTTAGTGAATACTGTAGGTATATATATCATCAGAAGCAACTACTTTGCAATAAATACCACTACTGACTTTGTAGACATTTTCTTAAGGCATTGTACCTCAGTTTGAACAATAGAATTTCATTTAATACAAAATGTTTATCATTATTTCCCTTCTTGGAAGGACAGTCTAGCAAACTCTGAAGGTGTTTCTCAGTAAGGACTTCTACGAATGTGGCAAGATTGTTAACATGATATCACTTGGCAAAGTTTCTCATATTACATGTGGACATTTTAAACGTATTTAGTACCATAGCCTTAATGTGTTTTTATTGTATAAACAAGTTGTATTTTGATTCAGATATACTTAGTTTTTAAAAAGTAGATGTTGAAATACTTTTAGTTTGGTAAATATTTCTTTTCAAGAATAATTCCAATTGTGATCCTCTTCCATATTACAATGGTAATATAGGGTTTATTTGCTGCTAGGTAACAGATAAAATTGCTGTTAGGTAACAAATAAAATATGCAACTAAGAAGGTTTGTAACTTCTGTTTTATTTCTATCACTGGTATGTGCTTGAATTAATGAAAAGCGTCTGAGACTACTGATTATTTCAGGAAAAAATTTGCCAGCAATTCAGAGTAGTTGCTACTACATGGTAGCAGTGTGTTTCTTTCTCTAGCATAGCTGGGTTGCAATTAAAAAGAAAACAGACATTTGGAAATATTCTTTATAAAAACAATTATTCTTGAAACTTGAATTTCAGTGAACACATTATAAACTAAATAAAATTAACATATAGAAATAATTGTAAAAACATTTTATGTTTCAAAATCATTGTAAAAATGTTTTCTCTTTTAAATATGAGGTTTACTCTTTAATTCTTCAAAAATTCCAGTAAATCGCCTCACTTTTGGTCTCATCTGCTTGCTACCTAACCTATATTGGTTCATTGGTCCTTTCAGTGATACTTGTTTTTGTATTCTAGACTATAGATAAGTCCATAGACTTCTGTCATCTTTCCCTCTAGCTAATGACAGCAGCACTATCATCATAAATATTATAGGAGCTTCTGGTAACTGAGTACCTACTGCATACCTGGAACTGTGATAGGTGTTTCAAAGATAATCAGTATCTTTGTCTGAAAGGTAGGTAGTATTACCCTTGTATAACTTAAATTGCAGAAGAATTGGCTAAATAAAATAAATGATGAAAATAGCTGTAAGACAAGAAATGTGGGAATGAGTATATTTTTTAGGGAAGGGGGACACCTGCCTTTTAGGTACAATGATTGTTTTTAAGTGAGCTAAGCATGAACAGATTTCAGGTTTTCAAGAGAATCTGAATCTGTGAATTATGATGTGAAATAGCCTTAGAGTTGAGATGGCCAATTGAATTATCTTTCTAACTACATGGTGGGTGAAGCAAAAACAAATGTAGACAAGGTCTGCTGTAAGCAATTTTATAGGCTACTTGGTGTCACACAGGTACTAAGTGATAAAGCAGGATCCCAGCCCAGGTCTGCCAGGGTCCATTGCACTCCTTTTCCTCTAATCCACACTGCTTTGTGAGCTACAGGCCTGTATAAATGCCACTATCTGATTTGTATATTCTATTTCTAGGCAGTTGAACATTTTGAGGCAAAATCATGAAATTAAATTGAGTGTTGTCCAAATTTAGCTGCCCCCCTTTTATTAATTGCTCCCTACTTTTTTTATAGGTTCTAATTCCTGAGATAGTAAATGGCACATAGGAAATTTCTTAGGAGTAATTTGGGGATCACCATCTGTGGTGTAGAAGGGGAAAAGGCAGGATTAAGCAGAGGGAGAAGTTGAGCTGCAAAGCACATCCAACAAAGGCCTTCAGCAGACCCCATGGGGAGCTCTAGGACAACCCAAGGTAAGGTGGGGGACTTGGCCTTTATACACTTGCATTGAGATTTGATGAAATCTGGCTGCCTTGAGGAGAGGAAGTCCCTTCGGCTGACTCTGAAAAGGGCTGAGAGGCAGGACATAGTGGCTCACACCTGTAGTCCCAGCACTTTGGGAGGCCAAGGTGGGAGGATTGCTTGAGCCCAGGAGTTTGAGGCCAGCCTGGGCAATATGGCAAAACCCTGTTTCTACATAAAATACAAAAGAAATAGCCGGCCATTGTAGTCCCAGCTACTCGGGAGACTGAGGCAGGAGAATGGCGTGAACCTGGGAGGCGGAGCTTGCAGTGCGCCGAGATCGCGCCACTGCACTCCAGCCTGGGAGACAGACCGAGACTCCGTCTCAAAAAAAAAAAAAAAAAAAAAAAAAATAGCCGGGCATAGTAGTGCATACCTGTAGTCCTACCTACTTAGGAGGCTGAGGTGGGAGAATTACTTTAGTCCAGGCAGTTCCCCCAGCCTGGGTGAAAGAGCAAGAACCTTTCTCAAAAAAAAAAAGGAAAAACTACAACAACAACAACAAAAACAAAAGGACTGACAGCTGAAGCTTTTCTAGCAGCAGCACTCTCTTTCACAGTTACGATAATAGCCTGCAATAACTTATCCTGGCATAAAAAGAATTTGCATATCATATAATTGGTGATTTTCTTGACCTTCATTCTCAAACAGAGGCTAGTTATGTTTTATATCTTCTGTGGGAGAGAGGAGAGGAAATCAGAGGGGAAATAATAGGCTATCCTCTTTCGGAAAACCAAGCGGCCAAGGGGGTATCCCTTGGTGCACTTTTAGAGAATATCCAAATATTCTCTAAGCCCAAAGCTCTAAACATCCTAGATCAGATTAAGGAAATGTAGAACCAAAAATCAGAAATTTCTGGAACTGTAGCCACTCTTTTGAAAGTGCCAGGCAGACACAGGACTCAGAATTGTCCTGTCAATACTCAGTCTGGACTGTATAATTTTACCGGTTGGCTCCAAAATGCCCAGTCCAGAAAGGGATAAACCTTGATGGGCTGCCTGCAAAATGTATTAATGTTTTTATATTGTTTTCCAGGAATTTTTATTCATGTTTTACTACCCATTATAAAGACAATGTGGTTGGTCTTCATCAGTGTCATGTTCAGGGGCCCTTAATAGCACTTTGTTGGGATTTTAATCTGTTAATTAAATTAATAATTAAAAATTACTCATCTATTATTCATACTCCTTATTATATTAAGTGCCTTTCTCATATAATGTTAAGTTGTTTAACACCTTTACTTTGAGCAACATTAATAATAATATTCTAAATTGTTGGCTACTTTTTCAAAATACCTGATACTCTTTTCATGGAGTAGTTTTTTAAAAATAGCTTGTTTAGATAAAGACTGAAAATGTTGCTAATCTGGTTTAATTCTGGATGTTTGAAATTATTTCCAGTTGTTTAAAAAGCTTTATGAAAAATAAAACAAAGCTTCCCTCAAATCATCTGGCAGGTGACTTTACAAGTAACCAGGAATTGGTCAGTTTTCAATATCATTTAATCATAATACGTTAATTGAGTTATTGCTAATATATTCTCACAGGGTATTTGTTCTAATTTACTACCTTATCACACTGCTATAAAAATAGCAGAAGATGTGTTCCGAAAGCCACTGCCATGGACGTTCATAAGATAATACACAGTTAATCTGTTATGCCTCACCTTCATAGATCTGTCCAGAAACAGAAAGCACCTCTCATTTTCCATTGATCCTTTTCTATCTCCTGCCTCAACACCACCAAATATTTTTATTCCACACAACTCTGTGGCCTTCCAAAATTATTAATTTAAGAGATTCTAACCAAGACTCTGTCCAAGAATGAAATAGCTTATTTATGGATCCATTCATTGGTTTATGGATCCAGGGTGCCCTGGAGAACACCACAAATCTTCGTGACATCCCAAGTGTTAACTTTAATGTTTATATCTTTAATTTAGCTGAAAGATGTGTAAAATCTCATATAGTCAAATAGCTCCCTCTTGACTGAACATATAAAATTGGGATTAAAGCATGCTGTTCCAATAGATATCAATCATAACTTATGCTCAATAATTTATTTTTGAATCTACATTTTAAGATCGCACAATGTTAAGGAGCAATTGATTTTTTTCTCCCATGCGGCTTATTTGTGGCCAAATCCTAGTTGTACAGAGATTGCCTTGAATATCCAGACTTCCTCTGGGCTTCCCTGTTATATGCAATAGTGTAACCATTAAAATAAGGTCAGTAAGTAACCTCTTGGCATCACAAATAGCAGCAGGACAGTAGTAAGTATATGTCTGTCTCTACATATAGTATTTTCCTATTTATCCAGCTCATTACATAACTATTTTTACTTTATTATTTCAAAATTGGAAAATGATATAACTAATAATAATCACCATACATAGGAAGGGATTTGACTGTAAAGATAAATTTAGGCCGGGAGTGGTAGCTCACACCTGTAATCCCAGCACTTTGGGAGGCTGAAGCGGGAAGGATCACCTGAGGTCAGGAGTTTGAGACCAGCCTGGCCAACATGGTGAAACCCCGTCTCTACTAAATATACCAAATGTTAGCCGGGCATAGTGGCGAGTGCCTGTAATACCAGCTACTCAGGAGGCTGAGACAGGAGAATCTCTTGAACCTGGGAGGCAGAAGTTGCAGTGAGCCCAGATTATGCCATTGCACTCCAGCCTGGGCAACAAGAGTGAAACTCCATCTCAAAAAAAAAAAAAAAAAAAAGATAAATTCAAAGTCACACTGTGTTTCACATGTAGCATACTGTGTACTCTCCAGTGTTTCTGCAAAAGCCGTTCTTCAGCATGTTAGTCATTAGTAGACTCTGACACATTCTATATTTGTCACTCATCAGGTTAGTTTAATATCCACTCTTTCCAATAAACGTCTGATTCTGAATATTCCATATGTAGAGCAGATTAAAAATAAAAGGGAAAACACATAGTGAATCATGTTTTAATGTTCTTAACTCCATTAAAAATGCATTATATGCTTCACCTACTTGCAAAAAAATGAGTGAAATTGAAATAAGACACAGATACATTTTATTTTTTATTTATTTATTTATTTGTGACAGAGTCTCACTCTGTCACCCAGGCTGGAGTGCAGTGGGGCAGTCTCAGCTCACGGCAGCCTTGACTTCCCAGAATCAAACGATTCTTCTGCCCCAGCCTCCCAAGTAGCTGGGACTACAGGTGTGTGCCACCACACCCAGCTAATTTTTGTATTTTTAGTAGAGATAAGGTTTCACCATGTTCCCCACGCTCGTCTCAAACTCTTGGACTCAAGCAGTCCTCCTGCCTTGGCTTCCCAAAGTGCTAGGATTATAGGCTTGAGCCATCATGCCCAGCCTCCCTTTTTTTTTTTAAAAAAAAAAAAAAAGACCTAAAGATATCTTTTAAAGTTTGAATGGATATTGATAAATTTACTCCAAATCTGAGGCAAAGATAATTTCTTATAATATTTAAAGTATACTTGTATTTAGCTTAGTATTATAAAACTAATATTGAATTTCATGCCCTTCTGAATTTCTGTGAAAATTTACCATTTCTAAAAATTATTCATAACCCTTGGCATTTTATAATTTTATTTCATTATTTTATTTTATTTTTAATTTCATTTAACAAATTTTTATTTATTTTTTTGAGACGAAGTCTTGCTCTGTAGCCAGGCTGGAGTGCAGTGGCACGATATCGGCTCACTGCAACCTCCGCCTCCCGGGTTGAAGCAATTTTCCTGCCCCAGCCTCCCAAGTAGCTGGGATTACAGGTGCCCGCCACCATGCCCAGCTAATTTTTGTATTTTTAATAGAGACAGGGTTTCACCATGTTAGCCAGGATGGTCTCGATCTCTTGACCTTGTGATTTGCCCGCCTCAGGCTCCCAAAGTGCTGGGATTACAGTTGTGCACCATTGCGCCCTGCCCCAAATTTTATATCTTTTGACCAACGTCTTCTCCCCCATCCCTCCAACCACTCCTGCCCTTGATAACCACCATTTCCCTTTCTACTTTTATGTCAGCAATTTTTTTCTATCAGTGAGATTATGTGGTATTTATCTTTCTGTGCCTGACTCATTTCATTTAACTTAGTGTCTTCCAGGTTCATCTATGCTGTCCTACATGACAGGATTTCATTCTTTTTTGAGGGTAGTTACTATTTTATTGTGTATATATATTACATTTTCTTTATTCATTCATGTATTGATGGACACTTAGATTGATTCCACGTCTGGCTGTTTTGATTACTGCTACAGTAAACGTGTGATGCAAATATCTGTTCAACATATTGGTTTCATTTTCTTTGGAATTATACCCAGTAGAGAAATTGCTGGATCATGTGCTAGTTTCATTTTTAATTTTTTGAGGAGATTCCATACTGTTTTCTATAATGGCTATACTAAGTTACATTCCTACCAACAGTGTGCTAGCGTTGCCTTTTCTCTACATCTTTACCAACTCCTTTTAGCCTTTGCCATTTTGGTAACAGCCATTCTGACAAGAGTGAGGGATATCTCATTGTGGTTTTGATTTGCCTTTCCCTGATGATTAATGGTGTTGAGCATTTTCTCACATACCTATTGATTTGTATGTCCTCTTTTGAGAAATATCTAATCATGTATTTTACCTGTGTTTTTATTTTGTAATTTATTTTTTATTAATTATTTATACTCATTTATTTATTTAAGACAAGATCTTGCTCTGTTGTCCAGGCTGGAGTGCAGTTGTGTAATCACAGCTTATTGTGATTTCATAGAGATGGGGGTCTCACTATGTTGCTCAGGCTGGTCTTGAACTCTGGGCCTCAAGTGATCCTCCGCCTTGCCCTCCTAAAGTGCTAGGGTTGCAGGCATGAGCCACCACACCCAGTCCATTGTTTAAAATTGAGTTATTTGTCTTATTATTGAGTTGTTTGAGTTTTGCATATATTCTGGATATTAACCATTTATCAGATATATAGTTTACAACTATTTTCTTCCATTCTGTATCCTGTCTCTTTGCTCTTTTGATTGTTTCCTTTACTGGGCAGAAGTTTTGTCATTTGATTAATTCCATTTGTCTATTTTTGCTTTAATTGCCTGTGCTTTTTGAGGTCATATCCAAAGAGCCATTGCCCACTCTAATGTCTTGGAGCTTTCCCTCTATTTTTTCTTCCAGTAGTTTTATGGCTTCAGGTCTTATATTTAAATATTTAATTCATTTTGTTTTTTTTTTTAATATGGTGTGAGATAAGAGTCTAATTCATTCTTCTTCATGTGGATACCCAATTTTCCCAAAACTATTCATTGAAGACACTGTTCTTTCCCTCTTGAGTATTCTGGCTCCTTTGTTGAAAATCAGTTTGCTCTAAATGTGTGGATGTGTTTTGGGGCTCCCTATTCTGTTCCATTGGACTATGTGTCTTTTAATGCCAGTGCCACACTCTTTCGTAACTTACTATAGCTTTTTAGAATGTTTTGAAGCCAGGTAGTATAATGTCTCTAACCTCATTCTTTTTGCTCAAGATTGCTTTGGTGATTTGGGGTTTTCTGTGCTCCTATACAAAGTTCAGATTTTTTTTTTTTTTCTGTGAAGATTGTCATTGGTATATTGATAGGTATTGTGTTAAATCTGTAGGTTACTTTGGGTAGTGTGGATGCTTTAATAATATTAATATTAATGCTTTCAATTCATGAACATGTGAGATCTTTTCATTTATGTCTTCAATTTTTTTTCATTAATATTTTAAATTTTAAGTGTACAGATATTTTACCTCTTTGGTTAATTTTACTCCTGAGTATTTTTTTGTAGGTATTATAAATGAGATTGTTTTCTTATTTTCAGATATTTTGCTGTTAGTGCATAAAAATAGTACTGATTTTTGTATGTTGATTTTGTATCCTGAAACTTAATGAACTTTTTTATTATTAATAGTTCTAACCATATTGAGTAATGTCTTTAGAGTTTTCTACATATATAATTATGTTTTCTGCACACAGAGAGAACTTAACTTCTTTCTTTCCAATTTAGATGATTTTTATTTCCTTCTCTTGCTTACTTGATCTGGCTAGAGTTTCCAGTACTATATTGAATGGAAGTAGCGCACCAGGCATCCTGCCTTGTTCTAATGTCAGTGGAAAAGTCTTTAGCTGTTCCCTGTTAATTATGTTAGCTGTGCGTTTGTCATATATGATTTTTATTATGTTGAGGTACATTCCTTCCGTACCTAACTTGTTGAGAGTTTTTATGGTGAAAATATTTTGAATTTTATCAAATGCTTTTTCTGCACTTATTGAAATGATTGTGTGGTTTTTGTCTGTCATTCTGTTAATATGATGTGTCATATTTATTTATTTACATATGTTGAACTATCCTTTCATCACTAGGATGAATCCCTCTTGATTTTTTTTTTTTTTTTGAGACAGTCTTGCTCTATCACCCAGGGTGGAGTGCAGAAGCGCAATCTTGGCTCACTGCAGCCTCTGCCTCCCGGGTTCAAGTGATTCTCCTGCCTCATCCCTAGTAGCTGGGACTACAGGCACATGCCACCACGGCCAGCTAATTTTTGTATTTTTTTTTTTTTTTTTAGTGGACCATGTTAGTCAAGTTGGTCTCAAACTCCTGACCTCAAATGATCCACCTGCCTCGACCTCCCAAAGTGCTGGGATTACAGGCATCAGCCACCACACCAAGCCACAAATGATCTTTTTAATGTGCTGTTAAATTTAGTTTGCTAGTATTTTCTTTAGGATTTTTGCATCTCTGTCCATCAGAGATATTGGTCTGTAGTTTTATTAATAGTGTCTTTGCCTGGCTTTGGTATTAGAGTGAGACTGGCTTTTTATTATAGGTTTGGAAATATTCTTTCCTCTTCTGTTTTTTGGATGAGTTTAAGAAGAATTGGTATTTAATTATTCTTTAAATGTTTAATATGATTAAGCAGTTAGTATCTTGATCTCCTCTGTAAATTAAAAAAAAAAAGTAGCTAAGCCATCAGTTCCTGGGCTTTTCTGTGATGGGATAGTTTTCATCACTGATTTGATCTCCTTACTAGTTACTGTATCTTACTGTATGCATCAAGGGCTTTATTCATTTCTTCCAGGTTATTCATTTTGTTGGTGTAGAATTGTTCACAATTACCTTTTTTTTTTTTTTTTTAAGACGGAGTCTCGCTCTGTCGCCCAGGCTGGAGTGCAGTGGCGCAATCTCGGCTCACTGCAAGGTCCGCCTCCAGGGTTCACGCCATTCTCCTGCCTCAGCCTCCCGAATAGCTGGGACTACAGACGCCCGCCACCACGCCCAGCTAATTTTGTGTATTTTTAGTAGAGACGGGGTTTCACCGTGTTAGCCAGGATGTTCTCAATCTCCTGACCTCGTGATCCGCCCATCTCGGCCTCCCAAAGTGCTGGGATTACAGGCATGAGCCACAGCGCCCGGCCACCTTTTATTCTTTGTATTTTACTTGTATCAATTGTAACGTCTCCTTTCATTTATTTGAGTCTTCTGTCTTTTCTGTTAGCTTAGCTAAAGGTTTATTGGTTTTGCTTACTTAAAAAAAAAAACAAAAACAAAAACAAAAAAACCTCTTGGTTTCCTTTAATTTTTTCTATTGGCTTTCTACTTTCCATTTCATTAGTTTCTGCTTAGATATTTATTATTTTCCTTTTTCTACTAACTTTGGGCTTAGTCTTTTCTTGTTTTTCTAGTATCCTGATTTTCAACATTTTGTGATCTTTCTCATTTTTTGATGTCGGTGTTTCTTCTATAAACTTCCCCTTTTGAACTGCTGTTGCTGTTTCCCATAGGTTTTGATATGTTATGTTTCCATTTTCTTTTGTCTCTGGATTTTTTTTTTTTTTTTGACGGAGCCCAGGCTGGAGCGCAGTGGCGCCATCTCGGCTCACTGCAACCTCCGCCTTCCAGGTTCAAGCGATTCTCCTGCCTCAGCCTTCCGAGTAGCTGGGTTTACAGACATGCACCACTACGCTTTCCTAATTTTGTATTCTTAGTAGAGACGGGGTTTCTCCATGTTGGTCAGGCTGGTCTCAAACTCCCGACCTCAGGTGATCTGCCTGCCTCGGCCTCCCAAAGTGCTGGGATGACAGGCATGAGCCATTGCACCCAGCCAGAAATTTTTTTTTTAATGATTTTTTTTTTTTTTTTGACAAGGTCTTACTCTGTCACCCAGGCTCTAGGGCAGTGGTATGATCACAGCTCACTGCAGCCTCAGCCTTCATGGGCATAGGTGATCCTCCCACCTCAGCCTCCCAAAGAGCTGGGACTGCAGGCACACACCACCATGTGTAGCTAATTTTTGTATTTTATATAGAGACAGAGTTTTACTATGCTGCCTAAGCTTGTCTTGAACTCCTGGGCTCAAGTGATCTGCCCGCTTCAGCCTCCCAAAGTGCTGGAATCATAGGCATGAGCCATTATTCCCCCCAACCTGATGAAATTTTTAATTTTACTTTTAATTTCTTCATTGATCCATTGGTTGTTCATGAGCATGTTGTTTAATTTCCATGTATTTGTGAATTTTTTGAAGTTTCTTCCGTTATTTCTAATTTTATACCGTGTCATCAGAAAATATATTTGATACAATTTCAATCTTATTAAAGTTGTTAAAATTTGTTTTGTGGCCTAACATGATCTGTCCTGGAGAATGTTCCAGGTGCAGTTGAGAATAATATGTATTCTTCAGCTGTTAATTAGATTTAGTTGATCTAGATTATATTTTAAGTCGGATGTTTCCTTATTGGTTTTCTGTCTGGATGATCTGTTTATTGCTGAAAGTGGGCTGTTGAAGTCTATTACTATTTCTGTATTGTAGTCCATCTCTCCCTTCAAATCTGTTAACATTCGCTTTATATGTTTAATTGCTATGCTGTTGGGTGCATATATATAATTCTTATATTCTCTTGCTGAATTGACCCCTTTATCATGATATAATGATGTTCTTGTCTCTTTTTACACTTTTTGACACATTGTGTATTTTATCTGATTTAAGTTTGGTTATTTCTACTCTCTTTTGGTTTCCACTGCAGGAATATATTTTTTCACTCATTCACTTAAAGCCCATGTGTGTCTCTACAAGTAAAGTGAGTCTCTTTAGGCAGCATATAGATGGCTCTTGTACTTTAATCCATTCAGCCACTCAGTCTTTTGATTAGAAAATTTAATCCATTTACATTCTAGATAATTATTGATAGGTAAGTACAAACTACCACCATTTTGTCCATTTTGTTAGGTTTTTTTAGTTGTTTCATAGATCTTTTGCTTTTTTACTTCCTCTCTTGCTTTTTTTTTTTTTTTTCCTTTTTGAGACAGTCTCACTCTGTCGCCCAGGCTGCAATGCAGTGGCACCGTGCCGTGTCGGCTCACTGCAACCTCTGTCTCCTGGGATCAAGCAATTCTCCTGCCTCAGCCTCCAAAGTAGCTGGGATTACAGGCGCCCACCACCACGCTCGGCTAATTTTTATATTTGTAGTAGAGACAGGATTTCACCATGTTGGTCAGGCTGATCTCCAACTCCTGACCTCAGGTGATCCCAAAGTGCTGGGATTACAGGCATGAGCCACCATGCCTGGCCTCTTGCTTTCTTTTTTGTGGCTGATTTTATGTAGTTGTATGTTTTACTTTTTTGCTTTTTATTTTTTGTGTATCTACTATAGGATTTTGCTTTGTAGTTAACATGAGGCTTACAAAAACATATAACTGGTTATGTAAAGCTGATAACAATATAACTTTATTTCAAAAACAATACAAAATAAGAAAAAAAAAACATAACTCTGGTTGCTCATGGATAAGCAGAACCCAGAACAGACTGGTGCAAGAGAGAAGGGAACCCAGCTCCACATTTGTGGCCTGAAGCTCTGGACTGATTGGCAAAAATTTTAAAGCTGACAATACTGGAAGAGAACCTTTGATCAAAAACACTAGAAATTGATAGAGACGTGATACAGACACCATGATCAAAAAGAGAGGAAGCTCGGATGTCTGCTCAAAGTAGTTGGGCAACAGGACTGGCCCCTGGACTCAAAACAGACATAAGGAAGTGATGAGTGAAGGAACCTTGGGCACCACATGCCCACTGTGGACCTCTGAGATCCTAGCTACAGGAGTTCTTATGACCTCCATAGACCTTTAAACTGGCAGGAAGAGCTGCCCAAAGAACAGACAGAGGCACAATTTGTACCTATGTGGAGCCAGAAGGTTTTGCTGCATTGCGTTGTTTCAGCAAAACGTTACCATAGATGTCCATCTCTCAAGGCTCTCCATCTTGTGCTGAGTGGCTACAGCTCCTGCTGTCTGCTGGTCCAGGAGAGAGCAGGGCCACCACTGCTGCAGGACTGAGGTGCATCTGATCCATCCACCCCCTTGCCTGTTGACCTCTTCCAAGACCACCTGCCTGGCTGCTCCCACAGGAGAGTGCCTACAGCACAGATTCCACCGCCCCCATCTGAGTGCTTTGCTGTTGGCTTGGAGGCAGTTTGCCCCTCAGAATAGCCAGTGCAATAACTGAGGGGCCAGTGGACAAACCCACGGGTATGGTCCCAGTTCCTCAGGACTGGAAAGCACTTCTGAGGGATATAGAACTGAGATCTATGGCCTGAGCATGAACAAGGACGATGACCTCCCCTCTCCCCAGCTCTAAGAATACAGAGGACTGTGTCATGGCTTTGTGTGCCAGTATGGGAGCTGGGCATCCCTCCCTTCATAAGACCAGCCCAGGAAGGAGATGTCATGATAAATGTCTTCTTCCTTGGGAGTCCTGTGGTCTAGAATGTCTGGAATGACTCTGCGATCTAGGCTTGGAAGAAGCCTAGTTGGTCAGGCCTGCTCCCATGGCAGAGATTGGAGGGAGATCCATTGGGTTGGGGGACTGCAAGTTGAACTGGCCTCACTGCATTGGCTGGGCTGAAAACCCTGGGCTGTGGGCACTACACTAGTTACAAACCCATGGTGCCACTACCCTGCCTAAGGATGCTCTGCCCTTGAACCCACTGCATCACCAGACCACCTGCAGACATACCATGCAATCTGCTTTGACTCCGGCAAGCACAGGGGACTGATGGTCCCCTGGGAGTTGCATGCCTCCTGGTGACCTCCTTCAACATGGACTATCCCTAAGAGAGGGGGTGAATGCAGCCTACTAAAATCTTCCTTTAGGACAAAGGAAATGGGTGCAGCACCAGCAGTTAAAGGGGACAACACCAAGGTCTAGGAATGGACATGGAAAGGGAGTCATCTTTTGCCTCCGGTCTCCACACTGGAGCACTGCTGCAGACCCACTGAAATACTGAAGGTATGAGCATGGCAGAGTAAGAGCCTACTGAGCCTTACCCTTAAATGCCATCTACTGGACTGACACTTGAATTATACCACCAAACAAAAATATATTGTGTTTACGCCCAAGGCCTGTAAAACCCACCACAGGAACCTGTCTACAGCAAAGGAACCCTTACAGAGTCTTGGCCCTCTGAAAAAAAACATACAAGCAGCTAACAAACATATGAAAAAATGCTCAACATCACTAATCAGAGAAATGCAAATCAAAACCACAATGAGATACCATCTCACACCAGTCAGAATGGCTATTATTAAAAAGTAAAAAATAACAGAAGTTGGCCAATCTGCAGAGAAAAGGGAATGCTTATAACTGTTGGTGGGGATGTAAATTAGTCCAGTCCCCGTGGAAAACAGTTTGGAGATTTCTCAAAGAACTAAAAATAGAACAACCATTCAACCCAGCTATCTCATTACTGGGTATATACCCAAAGGAAAATAAATTGTTCTACCAAAAAGACACCTTCACTCATATGTTTATTGCAACACTATTCACAATAGTAAAGGGATGGAAGCAACCTAGATGCCCATCAGTGGTGGATTTGATAAAGAACATGTGGCACAGATACACCATGGAAAGCTGTGCAGCCATAAAAAAGAATGAAATCACGTCAATCATGTTCCATGTAACAACATGGATGTGGCTGGAGGTCATTGTCATTATCCTAAGAAGATTAATGCAGAAACAGAAAACCAAATACCACATATTCTTATGTATAAGTGGGACTTAAACCTTAGGAACACATGGACATAAAGATGGGACAATAGACAACAGAGACTCCAAAATGAGGGAGGGAGGAACGGGGGCAAGTGCTGAAAAACTAACTTTTGGGTCCTATTTTCACTGTCTTGGTGACAGGATCAATAGAAGCCTGAATCTTGGTTTCATGTAATATACCCTTATAACAAACTGGTACATGTACCACCTGAATTTAAAATTAAAATAAATAACACAAAAAATGCAGTTTTCTTCCACTAGTCTCATCATATTTTGAATTTTGATGTTACCATTTGCATATTTTATATTGCACATCTCTTAAATTATTGTAACTATTATTTTTAATGGTTTTGTGTTTTATATCTTATATTTAAGATATAAATAACTTATGCAGCACTATTAGAGTATTAGTTAATCTGAATTTGTGTACTTACTTGTACCAGTATTTTATACTTTCTGAATATTTTCATATTACTCATTGGCATTTTCTTTCATCTTGAATAATTACCTTTAGCAGTTTTTGTAAGACAGGTCTCATGGTGATGAAGTCACTCAGCTTTTGTTTGTACTTCATTTCTGAAGTACAGACTTGCTTAGTACAGCATTCTTGGTATTCAGGGTATTTTTCCTTCTAGGCTTTGAATATGTCATCTCAGTATCTCTTGGCTTGTAAGGTTTCAGCTAAGAAGTGTGCTGCTTGTAGTATTGGAACTCCCTTATATGTTGTCTCTTTTATCTTTCTGCTTTCAGAATACTCTCTTTGTCTTTGATATTTGACAATTTGGGCAGTCTTATTTTGGCTAAATCTGCTTGGAGAACATTTAACTTCTTGTACCTGGATCTTTACATCTTTATTCAGGTTTGGAAATTACCTACTACTATCTTGTTAAAGAAATTTTCTATCCTATTATGTTTCTCTTCTTTTTCTTTAACACCTATGACATGAAAGTTTGTTTAGATATTCTTCTTTAAATCTCATAAGTTTTTTCATTTCTTTTCATTTTTTCTCCTCTGCATTTGTTTAAATAACATATCTTTGAGCGCACGTTATTATTATTATTATTATTATCTTGTTGGATCAATTCTGCTCTTGATGCTTTCTACTGCATTTTTTTCATTTATTGTAGTTTTCTTCTCTGGGATTTCTGTTTGGTTTTTTAAAAGTATATGTTCATTAAATTTCTCATTCCGTTCACATGTTTTTCTTATTTTACTGGATTGTTTCTCTGGATCCTCTTGAAGTCCTCTGAGCTTTCTTAAAACAGTTTGAATTTTGTCAGGCAGTTTATACATCCTCATTTATTTAGGTTTAGCCATTGATACCATATTTTGTCTGTTTGGTAATGTCTTGTTTTTCTAATTATTCTTCATCCTTGTGATTGAGCATTGATGTCTGCTCATTTGAAGAAGTAAGACCTATTCCAGTCCTCATGGACTGGCTTTGTCTGGGAAAGCCCTGAGGTATATGTGGCACTAGGGTGCATTAGAAACCTGGGACAATTGTGGTCAGCACAGCACTGCCAGAACCCTGGGGACTACAACAGCAGGTGTGACTCCTGGGGTGGACTGCAAACTCAGTGCGCCTGTAGTGGGCATGGCATTGCCAGATGCTCAGGGAAGCTGTGGCCAATATGGCACATGCAGGTGACTGGGGCTTGCTACAGCAGGCACAGTGCTGGGATGTGCCTGAAGCACAGTGCAGCTGCATCCAGTGCAATGCTGCCAGAAGCCGTGGCCTGTTACAGCAGGCATCTTTCTGGGGCAGGGCAGAAGCTTGGTTCAGTTGCAGCTGGGTCAGGTCTGATGACTCAGTTCATGGATACTGTCCTGGAATATGGGACTATAGGGATATCCCTAGTGCTGGGTTTTATTGTGGTAGGCCCAGTGGTAGAGTCCACGGCAAAATCTTGTGCTTGCTTCCCTTCATTTCCACAAAGTGGATATTATCTCTCTCTATGCTGCACTGTCTTGTGTTGGGGAATGGGTAACATGGATGATGTAAAACAGTCTTTTCTAATTTCTTCAATGAGTGTTTTCTTATTATTTTCCTACAACCACATACTTTGATCTCTAAGTTGGTTTCTGTTGCTCTTGTGAATGTAGTTTTCTTGGGTGTATAGTTACTCAAATTGGTATTTCTGCAGAGAGAAAGTTGCTGGAGGGTCCTACTTCACCCCTCCCCCTCATATTTTTAATTTTAAAAGATATTCCTTCATATGTATTTTGCTATTGTATTTTTTAAAGTCCATATTGTTCATTTATTTACAGTAGCCAATTGACAAATAAAGCACCTGCTTCTATGTGAGCACCAAAAATATTTTAGATCCATCAATTCATAGTTTATAAAACACTAAATTTCATGTCATTTTTGCTTGTTTCCCAAATTTCTTAGAAATTACCTAATTAAAAATCTTTCTTTATAAGTATCTTCTTTTTTGCTGACATTCTGTGTACGACACAGTATGTTATACTATGGAGTGAATGAAGGATATTGTTTTTTTTTTAATTAAAAAAATACATTTTACCTGAGCAAAATCTTATAGAATTTGATGGTTTCTCTCTTTGCCTCAGCACTGATATATTTTAAAACAAATTGGTTAGTTTTTCTTATGAAATAGTATTTCTTGTTTTTTTTTAAATGAACCTTGCAGTTATTTAGCTTGTTTACATTGGCATTATAAATATTATTTAATGTAGTGCCATATAGCTTGTAGAAACACATTAATTTTTTTTTTTTTTTTTTTTTTTTTTTTGAGACGGAGTCTCGCTCTGTCGCACAGGCTGGACTGCGGACTGCAGTGGCGCAATCTCGGCTCACTGCAAGCTCCGCTTCCCGGGTTCACGCCATTCTCCTGCCTCAGCCTCCCAAGTAGCTGGGACTACAGGCGCCCGCCACCGCGCCCGGCTAATTTTTTGTATTTTTAGTAGAGACGGGGTTTCACCTTGTTAGCCAGGATGGTCTCGATCTCCTGACCTCATGATCCACCCGCCTCGGCCTCCCAAAGTGCTGGGATTACAGGCGTGAGCCACCGCGCCTGGCCCGAAACACATTAATTTTTAAACTAAATTTGTAGGGTGTTATCAGCATTGTGAGGACCGGAATAACATCTGCTTTCTTCCCTACTGTGTACCAGAACTCAGCACAATTCTCGGTGCATAAAAGGCACTCAGTAAATATCTTCAAATTATAAATAATAATAATAATTTAAATAAAATAGAATATCATAATGACATTTTGGTGTTTTTTTTGTGTTATATTAACCAAATCATTTCCAGCAAACGACAGCTACATAAATAAAACTTTAATATAATAATTTCTCCCTCCAAACATCACAAACTTTTAATGTCTGATGAATGTTTTTCTCCCTTATCATGCAGGAATCTACAGGGAGGAGCCGAAAGTATTTAATAGAGACTTGTGAGAAATTTGCTCATTTAGAATTTCAAGTTCTTGTTTTTTACTATTTTCTCTCAAATTGTTATCTACTGCCTTTAAGTTTTTGTCTCTTTATACACCACTCCCTGGTTCATCACTTTCTCCTTATTCCTTTTGCTTTTGTTCACTCGCTTTTTAAATTTCATCCACGATTCAATTTAGTCATCAGTTGTCAGTGATGTCCTCGATGACTTAGTTAATTTTATGTTGCTATAACAAAATTCTGCAGACTGAGTAATTTATAATGAATGGAAATTTATTTGACTTAAATTTCTGAAGGCTGTGAAGTCCAAGAGCATGTCACAGGGACCTGGTAGGGGCTTTGATTCTGTGTCATTCCATAGTGGAAGGTGGAAAGGCATAAGAGTGTGAGGGCGAGAGTAAGAGATAGAAAGGAAGGGAGGCTAAACTCATGCTTCATGAGGATGCTTCTCTTGAGATGACAAACCCAGTCCCTTCCTCAAAATGGGGACAGAACCCTCCTGACCTCATCACTTCTTAAAGGTCCCACTTCTCACACTGTTGCATTGGGGATTAAATTTCCAACACAGGAACTTGAGAGTACACATTTAAACCATAGCACCAGTCATGCTGTTAGCATGTGGAATTACATCACTGTAATAAATACCTGAACCAAACTTTAAATGTACCGTCAATGTTACACAAGCCTCTATGTATCATCATTTTTCTCTCTTTTGCTTTATAGAATAAAACAAATATTTACTTTCCTCAAATTTTTTTTTCTATTTCTGGTTTTACTCTTAATTCTATTCTTGTGTGTTTGTAAATGCCTTCATTCTACTTTCACATTTAATAAATGTTTTGGCAGAAAATATTTTTCTTAAGAATTTTGAAATCTTTGTTACTGTCAAGAAGCCTGATAACATTCTGATTCCCTTTCCTTTGTTTATACACTTCTGTCTTCACTCTCATTCTCTGGAGGCTCTGCTGTGAGTATATTTGCTTTAAGCATATCTGGATTTTTTTTCAGTGTATTGGACATTAGGGTAAGCCCTTTTACTCTGGAAATGCAGTTTTCATATCTCCGAAATTTTGTTGTATTGTTTCTCAGATATGTTCCCTCTCTGTTTTCCCTTTTCTTTGTTTCTAGTTCTTGGGGTTGTCTTCGTTTTGCTTACTAGATTGATAGTTTGTTTTGTTCATGACTATATTTCATTTGTTTGCTTTTTTTCTACTTTCTAAGAGATTTGATTGACTTTTCAATATTTACTAATGGCTTTTTAAAAACAGATTTTATTTTTTATATTAGATTTAGGTTCACAGCAAAATTGAAAGATGGTACAAAAATTTCCCATAAGCACCTCTGTTCCCACCTACCACAGACTCTCCCACTACCAACATCTGGCACCAGAATGACTCATTTTTTAACTGATAAACTTACGTTGACACATCATTGTCACCCAAAGTACATAGTTTACATTACAGTTCATTCATGTTCATTCTATGGGTTTTGATAAATGCATAATACATGTATCTACCATTGTACTAACACACAGAGTAATTTCACTTCAACTATGAATCTTCTTTGTTCTACTTATTTATCCCTCCCTCCACTCACCCCCTAACAACCACTGATGCTTTTTCTTTTCCATAGTTTCGCTTTTTCCAGAATATCATATAATTGGCATTCTACAGTTTGTAGCCTTTTCAGTTTACCTCTTTCGCTTCATAATATGTATTTAAGTCTCCTCCATGTATTTACATTCTTTGGTAGCTCATTTCTACTTAGCACTGAATACAATTTTATTGTCTAGATATACTACAGTTGATTTATCAATTCACCTACGAGAATTAGGTTGCTTTGTTGCTTCCAAGTTTGGCAATTATAAATAACGTTTCTATAAATACCTGTGTGAAGGTTTTTGCATGAACCTAGGTTTTCAACTTTGGGGTGGTAAATACTAAGTAGTGCAATTGCTAGATCATATAGTAAGTAAGAGTAGATTTAGTTTAGTAAGAAACTGACAAACTATCTTCCAAAATGGCTGTACCATTTTGCATTCCCACTAGCAATGAATGGGAGTTCCTATTGTTCCATATCCTAACCAGCATGTTGTGTTATTAATGTTCTGCATTTTGGCTATTTTAGTAAGTACCTAGTGGTATCTCATTTTAATTTGTAGTTTCTTAATGACATATGGTGTTGAGCATCTTTTTATATGCTTATTTCTTGTCTGTATATCTTTTTGTTGACGTATCTGTTTAGGTCTTTTTCCCAGTTTTACATTAGGTTAAAAATGGGGTTACTTTTCTTCTCTTCTGCTAGAAGTAGGAGGCGATTTTTTTCCAATATTTACTCTGAGAACTTGGTAGAGTTCCTAAGGTAAAACTCATAAAAATGTGAAGAACCTCTTATGAGTGAGTGTCCCTGGATTTTTTAACTCTCATAATTGTCCACACTGATTACCTAAGAATTTGTCAGTTTTAGTTGAGGGATTTTTTGTTTTGCTTTTTGCCACAGTAGTAGTTCCTACAGAGGTTTCTGCTGGTGGATTTCTCCTTCAATAAGTTGTTACTCCCTAATTTTGTATGTCTATCTCTCCACTTTTTAGGGCATTGGTTTGCCCTTTGACCTAACTTCGCTGATAGTTCTAAAAAGAGTTGTTTATTTTTTTAGTTTGTTCAGCTTTTAAATTGTTGGTAGGATGAAGTGATGACTTCTAAACTTTTTACATGCTGGCCTGGAATCCAAAAGTTCCAATATTACTTATTTTTTAAAATTTTTGTATCATATTTTTAAGAGTTCCTCTGAACCCCCAAATGCTAATAGATGGAGATCATTGTCTGAGTTAACAATATTTCTGTAGGGAATAATTATTTATTTTGACAAATAATTTTTATTTTATTTCATGCCGGTGCAGCAGAGATTTCATGATGTTTATGGCATATAATGATCTACCAGTTGCTCTATTTAATGTTATTACTTTTAATAACTAAAGATATTAATATTTATTGCCTTGTGAAGCTTCATATTTTCAAAACATTTTAATATTTAATCCGATTGGGAAGTACTGTGATACAGTAGAAACTGAACTGATTTAGAGTATGTCAAACGTGGGTTAGACTCGTGCTGCTATTTACAGATGACAGTATCTAAGACTAAATACCCTTTCATACAACTTGGGAATAAAATAAAATGATTACTTTGAGGATTTTTAAGAAGTAAAAGTATGTGTAGATTATTATATTAGCTTTATACTTCTTCTGTAATAAATTACCACTGATTTAATGGGTTAAAACAATGCAAATTTATTTTCTTTTTCTTTTATAGGTCAGAATTTTAACATGGGTTTAAACTGGGCCAAAATCAAGAAGTCAGCAAGACCACTTTTCTTTCTGCAAGCTTTAGGGGACAACTTATTCCTTACCTTTTTGAGCTTGTAGAGGCCACCTATATTCCTTGACTCATGGCCCCTTTCTGCCATCTCGAAAGCCAGCAAAACCAGGCTGAGTTTTTGTCATATCATGGCACTCTGACCCTACCTTTTGCCTATTCTCTAAGAATTTTTTCAGAGTTACCACAAAGAATACTTTTAAGAGTTATAATTCTCTTAGAGAATAGGCAAAAAATAGGTTCAAAGTGATATATTTAAGGACTCATGTGATTACATTGGACCTCTCCAATATCCAGAATATTCTCCCATCTCAACTTCAGCTGATTGCCAACGTTAATTGTATCTGCAATCTTAATTCCCTTTTGCTATGTGGCAGCATATTTACGAGTTCCAAGTATTAGGACATGGCCATATTTGGGGGGGCCATTGTTCTGCCTGTAAAAGTATCTAGGAAAATCCTGATATAGACTATCAATAAATGGATACTTGCTATTCATTCAATAAAATATTTATTAAGTAATTAATTTTATAGATTGTATCTACTTCAGAGGAACCTTGAGGTAGACATGACAGGTACTACTCTAGCTTTCCATCTATTTCATCTATTTTAAAGCATTGGTACTAATGATACAAGAATGCAAATCATAATCTACATATTTTTAGTGCTTATAAAGTATATAAATATTATGTTGTCTATTAAAAAAAGCTTGACTTTTTTTAATCAATAAAATAAATAATATCCTAGCTACTTAAAATGATTTATATTTTTAAATTATAAAACTAAGAAAAAAGGGTAATACTTGTTTTTAATATCAGGTCACACAGAAGAATATTTTTTTCGCATGCTATATTACAGGTGTGTCATTGTTCAAATCATCTTTTTTTGTACAGAATCTGAAATACTCCAACTAATATTTTCAAGGGCTTTGTTTGATTGTGTATAATGCAGGTCTAGCAGCTCTACTAGGATTCTTGTAATCAACACAGTCATTTTGAACAATTTGAGGTGACGACTTTACTAAGTGTTCTCTAATCTGACTTTGTTTTCCCTATGGGAGCAATTATTCTACAAAATGACAAAGCAGCAAGGGCAAAAATCTAGCTACCAATGACATAAAATCACTGCTTTATTTCAGAGTTGGGATTCTTGATCTCATTAATGGCCTGGAATTGCATGACAAGCTTTTCCATTTAGACAATTAACATATTAATCCACTTCATGTAGTATCCATCTGCTTATATATAATTTTTCAGAAATATTTTCCATACCTCCTTGCACTCATGGACTGTAGCTATTTTCAAAAGCAATATAATCACTAGATGGTGTAAAACACTAATATAAAGTACCTGGGGGCAATTACTGGCCTTCAGAAATGAAAAATTACAGTCAAATCATTTTATAAATCTTTGAAACTCAGATATTGAGGAATAGTATTGGGGTAATTCATTTTCCCACTCAGTTAATTCCGTGGTTGGCCTTTTGTGCAGTTTGACAAATCAAGACTTCTTGTGGAGACTGGAGAGTAATTTCATTCATAGCTGAGAAGGATTTTTTTTTAAAGATGGCTAAAGTCATTTATAGTTCTATAAACTGAATTATTATGTAGCTATTCTCTTATCTTTTTTGGCAGTCTGGAGCAAAATCCATACTTAATAGTAAGTGAAAATAAAAAAGGAGAAAAAAGAAAAAGGCCACATCTTAGCGGTTCTTAGAAAAACTAATTATTGTTTTTTAGCAAATGAAATCAACTTTGCTTTGCCTTACCTAGATTTCCTGATGAATGATAAACAGGAGAGGCTGAGCTATATTACTTTTCAAAATACATGCATAGGGATATATATAAATATACACACATATATAATTATGCCAGTGAATATTGTAAATGATATTATCTGTGGAATTAACAAATTATTTCCAAAGCTGAAATACCACAGGTCAATGCCAGGTTCTCCTCCTTACTAATTATGTGACTTCAGGAAAGTCATTTTGCCTTTCTATACCTTGATTTCCTCATGTATAAAATGCAAAGTGTTGGCAACCAGAGAAACTTACCTCACTCTTAGTGTTCAGGGTTTTTATGGGGAGTCATGTACTTAAGTATGCAGCGTCTGTGTGACTGACCTCAGCTACTCTGCTGCTTTGAACTCCCCTACCCTCAAGAGCAAAAATAAGCATTCACTGTAAATCATATTGTTAGTGTAAACTATCTGATCAAACCAGTATTGTGGCTTAAGGCCTCAGACCTATAGAAATACTCTTACCAGGCAGAATATTCCAAGGGCTCAGAGCTCATTTCCTAGGAGCTGGCCCAGGGCCAGTGCTGCAGACAGCCTTTTCCTGGGAATATGCAGGGTCTGAGCAACTTTGGTCTGTTGAGTTAACCTTTATGTTGCAAATTATATCTCAAAATAGTCAAGAACAAAAGCATAAATATTTGTTACAAACTCTTTACATTTCTTGTTCTTCTATGATAACACTATTGTAGCCTCTGTCAGTGAAAGGAGCCAAAGAATATTTCTTTAATTTGATAAAGCATTTCATTTAAATTAAGAGTTAAGATTTAAAACAGGATACTTTGCTTAACAGAATCCATGGGGAAATTGAGTTTTGATTAATTGTGTGTTTTATTTTAAAAGGGTTAACTAGAAAGACCTTTTTACTTATACTTCCTCATTGAAAATAATTCCAAAATATTTTAGTTATTTTCTTACCTGAAAAACTGCTTGAATTTCTAATGCAATAAATTGAATAATATTTTTCATCCAGAAATTTTAATTCAAATGGCAACAAATAAGAAACAAAGATGGGTTAATAAATATATAGTAGGATAAATATTTTAATCTATAATACTAAATTATAGATTGTAATATCTCAAAATTACCCCATTAGCAATTATTACAATACTATATGTGAATGAATCAGCACTAACATCCAAAAACAGTGATTGAAGAAATCCCTTTAAACAATTTAGCTATGAGCACATGTAAAAGATGAATTATAATATTTCATGCAAGAAAAAAAGACTTTTAGTAGACCAGTTTAATAATTTATTTTTCTTCAGGACATTCAGTAGGAAGATAGAATGATGAAATGATCACTGTGAGACGGAAAGGAAGGAAGACTTGGTTAAGATCTGTTTGATTACGTTCTACTTAATGCAAGTTTATACATAGTTAAGGGGTATGTGTGTGTGTTTGTGTGTGTATCTGTGTGAAATATATATATTGCACAGTTCTTATTAATTAATTATTTAATTAGCACCTAAATTGTCAAGAATTATTTTGGGGGAAATCCCTTTAATGGAAATAACTTAGGTTTTGAAAACAAAAAATATGGGTTCTATGTCTGCCTCCTGCTCTCCGTGTGACTCTGATCAAAGTGTTTACCTCCATTTGACAAAGTATTTTGTACCCTCAGTTTACTCATCTGTATTTTGAGTTTTTGCATGGGGACTATTTTGTTCTTTGAAAGAGAACTTGTTGTAAATGAAGATGGATTTAGACAAAAAAATAGCTTCATATCAGTACAGAGCCTTGATTTTTAGAGGAAAGGAATGACTTTTTTTTTTTGTGATTTTTTCACAAGAGTGGTAGCAACGTACCATGTGTAGATTACTTTGATAGGACCAAGCAGGATAGATATTATCAAAGGAGGACCAATTGATGAATTTCATTAGCTGAGTGATTTTTTTCTTATTGTTTTAGTGTATAGGAATCCCATTTCTGCATTTCTTGGTGGGACAAGAATTGATAAAACATGGGTTACATCTGAATAATATTACTACTGACCTCAGCTGTTGCTTTCAGCTCTCCCACCCCCAAGAGCAAAAATAAGCACTCTCTGTAAATCATATTGTTAGCGTAAACTATCTGATCAAACTTGTATTGTGGCTCAAGGCAGAATATTTCGAGGATTCAGAGCTCATTCCCTAGTAGCTGGCAAAGGGCCAGTTCTGAAGACAGGCTTTTCCTGGGAATGTGCAGGGTTTGAGTAACTCAGGTCTGTTGAATGAACCTTTATGTTGCAAATTATATCTCAAAATAGTCAAGAACAAAGGCATAGATATTAGTTAGGAACTCTTTAAATTTCTTTACCTACTATTATATTAATAACACTTTAGTGTTAAAACATGGGTGACATGTAGTATTGCTACTCCACATGATTAGTACAAAGCAAATTAAATAATGACTATAAAAGCACTTTATAAACCCTTAAATGCTAAATACATGTTAAAATAATCATTGTTTATCAATCAGTTAACACCAATATACAGTCAAACACAGGTTCTTAAGAAGAACTTTTTTATCATTATGTGTGAGGTGAACTCCTTTGACAGGGTTTTCTCTCATTCTGTTCTCTTAGCTATGGACCACTTGATCAGTAAGTAATTCAAATGCAATAATCTGTAGGAGACATGGATATTTAAAGTAACCCTTTTCAGGTATCCCTATGTTGATGATTACCTTCACACTTTAAAACATCGAGAGTGAAGTAGAAAATTGATCCAATTACCTGACTAATTCATGCTTGAGAAAAAATATAGTTTTTTGTTTGGCCTATGAAAAATTGACTAATATTATAAATACACTACTTTTAATTTGCAAAATTACTTGTATTGATATACTGATCTGTAATCTGAAGAAGAATCATTACTAATACCATTTTTCAGTTCTTAAATACATTCAGTTTGTTATGTCTGTGTTGAATTTATTTTTCACTGGGGTTAATATTTCTTGTTTTCTTTTATTTTACCTCAAATTAACCACACCTACTACACCACCTTCTACTCAATGGTTTTGTGAGTCCGTTAATTATATTACATTATTTCACATTTTAAAAATTTGTGGATATGTTTTTTGTTTTTTAAGACGGAGTCTCGCTCTGTCGCCCAGGCTGGAGTGCAATAGCACTATCTAGGCTCACTGCAAACTCCGCCTCCCTGGTTCAAGCTATTCTCATGTCTCAGCCTCCTCAGTAGCTGGGATTAGGGTGCCCGCCACTACGCCTGGCTAATTTTTGTATTTTTAGTAGAGATGGGGTTTCACCATGTTGGTCAGGTTGGCCTCGAACTCCTGACCTCAGGTGATCCACCCGCTTCAGCCTCCCAAAGTGCTGGGGTTACAGGCATGAGCCACCGCGCCTGGCTGGATATGTTTTTTAAATTGAGGTATACTTCTGTGAATTCTGTATAAGAATTCACTTTAGAAATACATTTTTATAGATATTAAAAAAAGGAAAAATATGCTTTCTGCCAAACATGCTAAAATGTTAACCTATATCTTGGTGACGACCGAAACTTTAATTTTTTTGCAGGGAAGTATCCTTAGTATTGATTTGCAGCCAAGCTTGTCTCTATCTCAAAGGTCACAATTTTCAAACGAGAATACCTTTTTATGTGGTGTTTCAGCACATCTATTTTTAGTTTCAGCTAAAAACAAGAGGTTAAAAATCAACCATGGATGAAAATATTCAAGGAAAAAAACTGATTTTTTTTTCAAATATGAAAGGAGAGTCTTGTAAATGTCAAATACAATTATTTTAGGGATAAAATGTAATTCATGTTATCTTTGAAATATGCAGCAATTTAATTTTAATTGGAATATATTATTTTTCTTATTAATGTCCAATAATATAAAAGGTACAATTTAAAAGAAAAAAGTTGTATCAAGATTATAATTGTGCATATTAATTCAAATGTCACGGTGGTATGCAGAACTCTAAGCTGAGCACCAAGATCTCCATTCCCTGGTGTACATACCCTATGTAATTCCCTAGGACTGTGAAATAGGATGGCTTTCACTCTCTGCAGCTGGGTTATGTTATAAAGCTACAGGGATTATGCATGTTTAATTAATGTCTCAAATCATTGATCTCAACATAAGGAGATTATCTAGTTTTGCTTGATCTACTCATAAAAGCCTGTAAGTCTGGGCCTAGAGGTCAGACAAAGATAAAGTCAGAGATTCCAAGCATGAAGATTTGATGTAGCTTTGCTAGCTTGAAGAAGAGAAACCACACGGCAAAGAATGAAGGTGGCTTCTAGTTGCTAAGAGCCAGCAAGGAAAAGAGAACCTCAGTTACAGGAACTTCAAGGAAGCGTAACTCTGACAGCAACAGAAAAAGCTTGGGGGTGAATTTCTCTTTAGAAACTCCAGAAGAGAAGCCCATCCAGATTCTTTGATTTGGGCCTTGTGATACTTTGAGTAGAGAGCCCAACCACTGTATGCCAGACTTCTGATTACAAAATTGTTAGCTAAAAATTTGGGTATTGTTTTAAAGCACTAACTTGTGATAATTTGTTTTGCAGTGATAGAAGACTAATACGCTTCCTATAAATTTAGCCAGGAAAATATGCCATGTAACACAGTGCTTACTAGCACACTTTTAATATAGAAACTAAATATAATCCAATTAATTGGAAGTATAGCTCAAATAATATATCAGACTATGAAGTACGTATTTAACCATGTTTTAGTTCAATTTTTAAATTTAAACTCTCAAGCAGATTATAAACAGATTTGACAAAATCTTTTTTTTAAAAAAAGCACAATGATTTAATGGAATTTTTTGATATTAAAAACTTTTGGTCTTTGAAAGACACCATTAAGAAAACTAAAATGAAAGCCACATAATGAAAGAAGATATTCACAATACATTTATCTTGCAATGGGCTTGTATCCCGAGAGTGCTCAAAGAATGCTTATAATTTAATAAGAAATCAAACAATTCAATTGAGAATGAACAAAGGAATTGAGCAGACCCTTAACCAAAAATGATATCTGATTGACCAATAAACACATGAAAGATACTTTACAACATTTGTCATCAAGGATATAAAAATTAAAGCCACAATGAAATATTACTATGAAGCCATTAAAATAGTTAATGTTGAAAAAACTGGTAATAGTTAAGTGCTGGTGAGAATGTGAAACAGGTATCCTGGCTGGCGAAAACGTAAAATGGTACTAACAACTTGGAAAACTATTGGAGTTCTCAAAATTTATATATTTTTGACAAAATCCTTTATGTACAGTAAAACTCCCATGATTCATTCCACATGATAGTTAAATCTTGATTAAACTATAACCTGCATTGGTGTAAAAAATAATAATGAAAGTGACAATAACAGGAAAGGCTTTTAAGATCTGTTTGTTTCTTTAATTGCTTGCATGAAAACAAATGATTCAATATACTCTAAAATGCTTTCTTATTCTTATAAACCTAGCTAATTAATATTATATGAAGAGTTACCTTTACTTTGCCTATAACTAGAATTTGTGAAAGTATCTTTAAATATACATTATTAATATAGAATTTTGTTACTAGGTTGAATGACTTTTTTTTCATTTAATGCTGGCTGATGAAGCATAAACATGTTCCAAAAAAGTAACATACGGGTGTGTGACTAAAAATGTTAATGACAAAGTACTGATTTCTCAGCCCTGATATTTCTATACTGATATCCATCCCAGTAGCATGTTAATTCCCACTGAAATTCTGATTATTGATACTACTGATAAAAATAATTATCCTCTATGTACGGTCTCTTATGTGTCAGACACTGTGCTATGTGACATTATCGCATTTGTATCTCATAGTAACATCAAGAAATTTATTTTCTATTATTATCCTAACTTACAACTGAAAAATAGGTGAAATTCATTAATAATGATGTCTACTTAGATGTCCCAGAAGTATCTGAAATGTAATTATCTAGAACAGGGGTCCCCAATCCCTGATATCAGTCTGTGGACTGTTAGGAACCGGGCTGCACAGCAGGAGGTGAGTGGTGGGTGAGCGAGCATTACTGCCTGAGCTCCACCTCCTGTCAGATTAGCGCTGGCATTAGATTCATGAGAGCACGAATTCTATTGTGTGCTGCACATGCGAGGGACCTAGGTTGCGTGCTCCTTGTGAGACTCCATTATACCCCCCCACCCCAGTTTTTTTCCAATTTGTCCGTGGAAAAATTGTCTTCACAAAACTGACCCCTGGTGCCAAAAGATTGGGGACTGCGGATTTAGAAGATAAGTGTTGCTAAAAAATAAGTTTAACACAGATCTATTATAATTTGCTAAAATATAACTGTCAAAGAGTTGAAAACATGACCCTCATAAATATAAATGAACCAAGTCAGTGATTTTATTCAACTAATTAATTAATGCGAGAATCAGAAGATGCCAAAACTGGTTCAAAGGATTATTAAAAGTACTGAGATTAATATAGTCAGTCAGAGAACATTAAGAATAATTTACTAATAGATGCATAATTGCTTAATATCCTACAGGGCTATGAACTATAACATTTGAGATTGTTGCCTCTAGCAGCTAGAAATAAATCATATCTATACTGGACAACATTTCTTTAGATTACTTTAAATAAAAATCATTTTCATTGCTTTTATAAAAGAATCAATTGCATTATTATAAGTGCAAGTTAATTTCACAAGTTGTTTATGAGTAAATTTTATAGAATAAGGAAGTTTTCCAGAAACCTTATCAGCAATGCTGATATGATGCTGTAGTAGGCAGAATAATGGCCTTTCAAAGATGTCTCTTCTCTAACTGTGAATATGTTACCATCCATGGCAAAAGAGATTTTGCAGATGCGATTAATTTAAAGATCTTCAGATAGGGTGATTATCCCGGATTACCTTCGTGGGCCTACCATAATCACAGGGTTCCTTAAAAGTGAAACGGGGGGAGGCAGAAGAAAAGTTAAGGCCAGAGTGCTGTAATGTGATAAGGACTCAATCACCATTATACTGGCTTTGCAAATGGATCAAGGTCATGAGCCAAGAAATGTGCGGAGCATCGAGAAGTTCAAAAAGGCAAGGAAATGGATAATCTCAAAAAGAAAAATAGTCTTGCAGGCACCTTGATTTTAGACCAGTGAGACCTCTGTCAGACTTCTGCTCTACAGAACTGTAAGATAATATATATGTGTTATTTTAAACCACTAAATTTGTAGAACTCTATTATAGCAACCATAGGAAATTAATAAAAATGCCTGGCCGGATGCAGTGATCACGCCTGTAATTCCAGCACTTTGGGAGGCCGAGGTGGGCAGATCACGAGGTCAAGAGATCGAGTCCAATCAGGTCAACCTGGTGAAACCCCATCTCTACTAAAAATACAAAAATTAGCCAGGCATGGTGGCAGGTGCCTGTAGTCCCAGCTACTTGGGAGGCTGAAGCAGGAGAATCGCTTGAACCCGGGAGGTGGAGGTTGATACAGTACATGATTATTAATAATTTGTTGACTGGATGAATTATTTAGGGTTCAATAAATGTAACTCGTTTAGGACATATAGTTAATAAACTGGATCCTAGATTAAGCCTCTGTGCCTGTCCCTACAACCTGTACTTTTACCACTTAAGTTGCTTTATTTCTTGTGTAGTCAAAAATAATATCCTTTAAATCATTTCCTTAGATTATTTTGCCTAGATTCTCCACATTCATTCTGATAAGGAAATGATTTATAGTTGATAATGTTTATTATTTAGTTTTAATAAACTGGAAAAAATCAATTTCAGGCATATGTTAAAGATATTGCAGGTTCAGTTCCAGACCACCATAATCAAGTGAATATCACAGTAAAATAAATGTCATACAAATTGTTTGGGTTTCCCAGTTCTTATAAAAGTTATGCTTATACTATACCACAGTCTATTAAATGTGCGATAGCATTATGTCTAAAAAAGTCCATACTTTAATTAAATATACCTTATTGCTTAAAAATGCTAACAGTCATCCAAATCATTATCTTTTGGCTATTGGAGGGCCTGATCTCGATGTTGCTGGCCACTGACTAATCAGCGTGGTGGCCACTGAAGCTTGGGTAGCTGTACCAGTTTCTTAACACAAGCATCAAGTTTCCACCCTGATTCACTCACAAGAGATTTTTCTGTATTATGTTATCATTTGATAGCATTTAACCGACACTTGAACTTCTTTCAAAATTGGAGTCAGTCCTCTTAAACCCTGCTCCTGCTTTATCAATTGTTTAGGTAATATTCTAAATTCTTTGTTGTCATTTCAACAATGTTCACTGCATCTTTACATGGAGTAGATTTAATCTCAAGAAAACATTTTCCTTCTTCATTTATAAGAAGCAACTTCTCAAGCATTCAAATTTTGTTATGAGTTTGCAGCAATTCAGTTACTTCTTTAGGCTCCACTTCTAATTCTAGCCCTCTTAATATTTCTACAACACCTGCAGTTATTTGCTTCCCTTAAGTGTTGAAATTTTCAAAGCCCCTCACCTTCCTTCTGCAGCTTCCTGACCTCTTTCATCCTTCACAGAATCTCATCTTGAATTGTAGCTCCCCTAATTCCCATATGTTGTGGGAGGGACCCAGTGGGAGATAATGGAATCATGGGGTCGGTTTCCCCCATACTGTTCTCATAGTAGTGAATAAGTCTCAAGAGCTGATGGTTTTATAAGAGGTTTCCCCTTTTGCTTGGCTCTCATTTCTGTCTTGCCTGCCGCTATGTAAGCCATGCCTTTTAGCTTCCACCATGATGGTGAGCTCTCCCAAGCCACATGGAACTGTGAGTCCATTCAACCTCTTTTTCTTTATAAATTACCCAGTCTCAGGTATGTCTTTATCAGCAGCATGAGAATGGACTCATAAAACTGGTATGCAAATAAGCAGACTCTACATCATAGTATTCCAGTGTAGTTGAACTATTATTATAATGGAGTCCCTATCCATAAAATTGATTACAATCTAATATGGATTTGTGCAATAAGGCAAATATACCAGTAACTAAAATACAGGGAAAGTATGCTACAGATGAATTAATTTATACAAATATATGAGTCAAAGGGAGAAATTATTCAATTAGGTAAAGGAGGAAAGCATTTATTAAAATTAGAGAGGGTGTCTGGGTGAGAGCCAAGTCTGAAGGATTTTTTTGGGTAATGGTTTCTTTACTCTATTTTCTATCACATGTTGAAAATTTTAACACATTGCTGTCATCAGAAGGTGTTTATAATTTTTTTGTTTATAGGGTTTATAATTTTTTTGTTTTTTAATTTATAGATTTATTTGATTAAAAAAGAGTTTCATGTACCAGAGATGGGTTATTGAAAATAGGCATTGTTTAAAATATGATAAATATTTTATTTGAAAACTTGGATTTTTATGATTTACAAAAATCTGGAGAAAAAACAGGGCAAAAATAACAGAAAATGAACATATATTTAAATTCCCCAAATATTCAAATATATCATTATATTATGATGAAGACTTACATATTACTATTTTGTAATATGACAAAGATCTATTCTTACATTTATTATGATAAAATGTTGCTATAATATGAGTTCATTATATGAAGCTCTGACATGTTCCTCTCATTCTTCATCTAATATCTAATAATGACTACCTGCAAGGAGAAATAATCACTCAAGTTGTTTACTTTTGCAGAAGGTGCAGTCTCTTTCAGAGAATTCTAAAAAAAAATCACATTCTATTTAAACTAGAAACTTTCTATTAAAATAAGTGAAATGTAGTTAACAAAGGATATTTATTTTTATGTATTTTGTTAGTTACTATTTTCCTTATTTTGAAAAACTTCAGATCACTGGAATATCTACATTACAAAGTGGCCAGATTGTATGGTGTCTGTAATCTCATTACCTTGTGGTAAAAACACTTAATTTTAGGCTGGACACAATGGCTCATGCCTGTAATCCCAATATTTTGGGAGGCTGAGGTTGGTGGATCACCTTAGGTCAGGAGTTCCAGACAAGCCTGGCCAACCTGGAGAAACCCTGTCTCTACCAAAATTATAAAAATTAGCCAGGCATGGTGGCACATGCCTGTAGTCCCAGCTACTGGAGAGGCTGAGGCAAGAGAGTTGCTTGAAACCAGGAGAAAGAGGTTGCACTGGGCCAAGATCATGCCACTGCACTCCAGTCTGGGAGCCTGGGTGACAGAGTGAGACTCTGTCTCAAAAATAAAGAAGATTGGCCAGGTACGGTGTCTCATGCCTGTAATCCCAGCACTTTGGGAGGCCAAGGTGGGCAGATCACCTGAGGTCAGGAGTTCAAGACCAGCCTCACCAACATGGTGAAACCCCATTGCTACTAAAAGTACAAAAATTAGCTGGGTGTGGTGGCGTGCACCTGTAATCTCAGCTACTCGGGAGGCTGAAGCAGGAGAATCACTTGAACTCAGGAGGCAGAGGTTGCAAAGAGCCGAGATCGCGCTATTGCACACCATCCTGGGCAAAAAGAGTGAAACTTGGTCTCAAAAAAAAAAAAAGATCAGATGGCTGTAGATGTGTGGTGTTATTTCTGAGGCCTCTGTTCTGTTCCATAAGCCTATATGTCTGTTTTGGTACCAGTACCATGCTGTTTTGGTTACTGTAGCCTTGTAGTATAGTTTGAAGTCGCGTAGCATGATGCCTCCAGCTTTGTTCCTTTTGCTTAGAATTGTCTTGGTTATATGGGCTCCATTTTGGTTCCAAATGAAATTTAAAGTAGTTTTTTCTAGTTCTTTGAATAAAGTCAATGGTAGCTTGCTGGGAATAGCATTGAGTCTATAAATTACTTTGGGCAGTATGGCCATTTTCATGATATTGGTTCTTCCTATCCATCAGCGTGGAACTATTTTCCATTTGTTTGTGTCCTCTCTTATTTCTTTGAACAATAGTTTGTAGTTCTCCTTGAAGAGGTCCTTCACGTCCCTTGTAAGTTGTATTCCTAGGTATTTTATTCTCTTTGTAGCAATTGTGAATGGGAGTTCACTCATGATTTGGCTCTCTGCTTGTCTAATATTGGTGTATAGGAATGCTTGTGATTTTTGTACATTGCTGTTGTAGCCTGAAACTTTGCTGAAGCTTAAGGAGTATTTGGGCTGAGAAAATGGGGTTTTCTAAATATCCAATCATGTCATCTGCAAACAGAGAAAATTTGACTTCCTCTCTTCCTATTTGAATACAATTTCCTTCGTTTGCCTGATTGCCTTGGCCAGAACTTCTAATACTATGTTGAATAGGGGTGGTGACAGAGGGCATCCTTGTTTTGTGCTGACTTTCAAGGAGAATATGAACAGACACTTCTCAAAAGAAGACATTGATGCGGCCAGCAAACATATGAAAAAAAGCTCACCATCACTGGTCATTAGAGAAATGCATATCAAAACAACAATGAGATACCATCTCATGCCAGTTAGAATGGCAATCATTAAAAGTTAAGAAACAACAGATGCTGGCGAGGCTGTGGAGAAATAGAAGCACTTTTACTCTATTGATGGGAGTCTAAATTAGTTCAACCATTGTGGAAGATGGTGTAGCGATTCCTCAAGGATCTAGAATCAGAAATACCATTTGACTCCGCAATCCCATTACTGGGTATACACCCAAAGGGTTATAAATCATTCTACTATAAAGACACATGAACGTGTATGTTTATTGGAACACTATTAACAATATCAAAGACTTGGAACCAACCCAAATCCCCATCAGTGATAGACCGGATAAAGAAAATGTGGCACATATACACCACGGAATGCCACGCTGCCATAAAAAAGAATGAGTTCATGTCCTTTGCATGGACATGGATGAAGCTGGACACCATCATCCTCAGCACATTAACACAGGAAGAGGAAACCAAACACCACATGTTCTCACTCATAAGTGGGAGTTGAACAATGAGAACACATGGGCACAGGGAGGGAAACATTACACACGGGGGTCTGTCGCAGGATGGGAGCAAGGGGACGGAGAGTGTTAGGACAAATACCTAATGCACGCAGGGCTTAAAACCTAGATGACCTGTTGATAGGTGCAGGAAACCACCATGGCACATGTATGGCTGCATAAAAAACCTGCACGTTCTGCACATATATCCCAGTATTTAAAGTAAGATAAAACTATATATAAAAATAAAAAAAGAAAAAGAAAACACTGATTTTTAACTGACAGATTATGTCCCCCTAATTGCAGGCATTAGAATAATTTACCATTGTGATAATGCTTGAAAGTTGGATTATATTACAGACCTGTAAGACGGCATTAGACTTTGAGTCAAAAGTATTCATTCATTTTTTTTGTGTATTTTTGTGTTAAATTAACAGCTTTAAAAATGTTTATAGGGATACATAGTAAAATAGCTATATGTTCATGTGTGAGGATTGGATAAGCATGTGAAATACTCCACAGAATTTGTGCTCAATTTTGGGACTTCACCTGCCTTGCTATGAATAAAGTATGTATTCTTAGGATACATAAACTTGTATATTATTTTAATCTTAATATTTCTAATCATCTCTTACGCACAGCCTACTTCTTTCTCTATAACTGATGGTGATTAATTGCCTAATTACTTGCCCCATATGCTTCTCATTATTTTGTGTTGTATTAGCTTTCTTTTTTTTCATCTATTGAATTAGAGTAGGGGAATTTAAAGTTCCCAGACAGTACGTTATGGTTCTTTGTATCCTCTGAAGTCCCTAATACAGCACTCTCTCCATACTGGGCTATGTGATACATTTGGAAAAGCATGAGGTTTGAAGTTCAGACTTCAAATTCTGGCTGTATGTGTTAACTCAGTACACTTGAGAAAATCTCACTCTTGTTAAACTCTTCTATAACATCAGGCTGGTGTGGTAAGATCAGTAGCAGTCTATGAGAATCAAGTGAGAACCATTTGCACAAAATAATTGTATAAATTCCAGATAGCTATAATATATACTGTAGAATTCTTCATTAGATAAAATGATCATACTAAAGAGTATAATAACTTAAAAAATATAGACAGCTATTATTAATGCTTGCAAAAATTACTATTTCAATGGAACTTACTTTGGATTTATTCATTTTTTTAATCACATCATAGGAAAACTAAACAGATTCTAACTCATTTAGTTGTTCCAATTTAACTTTAAAAGGAAATAGAAAAAGCAAAGGAGCAAACAAAAAAAATCCTGTGATTCTAATGCCACCAGTTAAATCATAGTGTTACTGGTGGAGGGGGTACAGGTTCTTGACGTCTTGAACAAAGAATTAGATGAAAATGCACAAAGCACGGAAAGAATGAAGCAACAAAAGCAGAGACTAATTGAAAATGAAAGCACACTCCACAGTGTGGGAGCAGGCCCGAGGATAGAGACTCAAGAGCCCTGTTACAGAATTTTTGGGGGTTTAAATATCCTCTAGAGATTTCCACTGGTAACTTTGTGTATGCCCTATGTAAATGAAGAGGATATTTCCTGTCATAACTGAAGTGTTTCCATTTGATTTAGTTCTAGGAAGTCCTTAGGTTTCCAGCCTCCAGGTTCTATTCTCCTGCCTCGATAGAGGCTCTTTAAATTCACGAAAATCATTAGCCCTTTTGCACTGTATATATTATTGTTGTATATTTTCCCTGGGTGTTATATTCATATTGCCTTCCTTTACACCCGAATTCTGCTTGGATGCGTCTCCTCTGTGTTCTTAAAACAAGACAGGTAATTCCTATTATGTTGCATATTATAATTTCTTCTTATTGTACTTTCCTTAACTTTTTATTCTACAGGACTAAGAGCTCTGTGAGTGAAGGGACCATGTCTACCTTGCACACTAATATATTCAAAATGACTAATTATGTTCAGCTCATAGTAGGATCTCAGTAAATATTGGTCAATTATATAACTGCAGATGTACAGCATAATTAAATATATATGCAGGCCCATTGTAAAGTGGTTTTATTTTAGAAGCAGGAAAATCTTTACAATCCAAATTTAAATTTAACCTTTGGAAGTTATGCTATGGGGATGTGGCTATTGGCATTCACTAGGCAAATTCACCTAGGATTCTTTTTTTCCCCAGAAAAGGAAAAAAAAAACAAGCTCAAACCAACTTAAGAAAAAGATGTTTTATTTTCTCTTTTAACTGATAAGTAAAGGATACTATGTGGTTTAAATGAAGTAATCATGGCTCAGACTCCCATCTCCCCACGTGTTCTCTCAGGTTCTCAAGTAGGCTTTCTTCACTTAGCACTGTGTCTTGCCTTAAGGCCAAACTTTGCTTCTTGCCACTCATAATTTAGTAAGAAACATGGCTTTCTCCCCCATGATATGTATATAAATATGTAGGGAAGAATTTAACTAGCCCTGTGTGATTCTAGTGCCCATATCTTGACCAATTGCTGTACCCAACATAAGTATGGACAGGGTTAATATGCTTAGATACCTTTCTACCACTATAGTAAACAGTCTCACAGAACTCAATAGATTGGGGAAGCAGTGATTTTGGATGGAAGGCATGAGAAACAGGTAAAAAGCATTTCTTCACTATATTATGTCTCTTTAGGTTTTGCCTTTATGTGGCAAAGAAATAGAAAAGTCTCCACTAAACGTTTCATTTAGACCATCCTTGTGAACAACATGTAGAGTTCTACCAGCAGAATAGTAAATTGTGAACTCTTTCATTTAAGAAATATATCAAAGAATTGAGGTGCTTTTTAGCCCCAAACATTGAAAATACATGAGACAAGTGACCATGTCAGAGTTAAAACTTGGTTTTAGATAGGTACTAGCTAACAACCACAACACCTAGTATTAGATGCTTGGAAAGCAACAAAAACTCTTTCCTCAGGGAAGCATTGAGGATTTAGATGAATTCAGTGTTATTTATAAAGTGCTTATTATATGTTCTTTTTATTTTAATATCATAAGTAATATATTTTTATACTTTAAGTGACTAATTATTTGATTTCATCGATCTATTAACAAGTGTTTTGAGTTACTTATCAGAGAATTCATCATAAAACACATACATTAAACATCTATTTTACTACTATAAATTCTTAAACTTGATTTCATCCAGTAGTTCTTATCATGTAATTTCGAATGCAATGTAATGTAGTCAGAAACGTGTAGAATATCTTCATTTAAATTTGTCAGGCATCACATGAAGTTAAAACTCATAGTGGTCTATAAGAAAAAGCAAAGAAAATACTGTTGCCTCAAACAGTTATTTTAACAGCTGAGATTTTTATATTGAAATAAACTAATAAGAACGTTTAGTGTTTGAAAATTATGGTAGGCACTTGAAATATTTATATGTTAATAGTTAAATCACTCAGGCAAAATTGAACATATTTATAAAAAATTTATTCTAAACATATGGAAGGAATTCTGGATTAACCTTCATAATATATTTGAAATACGATATGTTGGAAATTAACTGGGCTTAGCTTGTATTCCTAGTTTGGGCTCTGAGACACGATTGAAATAATTAATTTCAACAAAGAATATAGAAAGTATGAACATGTGTTGGCTTTCAAAATGTGAACAACGTGGTGAAATTATTAGATCCTTGGGTGGTTCTGGTCTTAATTCATAGCTTAAAATATTATGTAGTGAGAGACTTATATGCTTTAGTTTTTTAGTATCAATAACGCCCTTGAAACCTTTCTTTGTACTCCTCAACCAGACCTAGGTGTTTTCTCCTTAAACTGAAACATTCATTTTCACAAAAAATAAAATAAAATAATAAAGAATAGTCAAGAACTTGACATTATTTTTTGATTAGACTTGTTGGGCAGAACATATCTTTTATAGAATGGTATGTTGTAATTGATTTAATATGGAAAGAGAGAAAAACCTCTTATATAAAGACAGGTGCTTTGCAAATTTCAGTGTTCATACAAATAACCTGGAGAGTTTGATAAAGTACTAACTGATTCTTGGATTCCACTTCCAGAGGTCCTGATTCAGTAAGTGGTGCCTGAGTGCTTGCATTTCTATTATATTCTCAGATGATGCTGATGCTAATGGTCTGTGGAGCACATTTTGAATATCGCTTAGGTAGAACTACTTTGGAAACAAAACTATTTCCTCCTTTAAAAATTAAACTACAAGAATTAAAAGAACGCACACTAAAAACATGTGTTAAACTAAAAACAAATTGTAAAAAATTTAAATGAAAATATTAAAATCAAGTCAAATTATTTATGATCATTTATGTTAATTATATAATAGAAAAATTCTCATTTATTCAATTAAAGTTATTTAATGCTTTTTCATGGTCTGTTCATATCTGATTTTCATTATGGTGAAGTAAAAATAAAGGATATAGGTGTTAAATATACTGATTTAAAGTATAGGACATGTACTAACAATGATATAATTTTTTAAATTTGGCATTTAAGCTTATTTCTATATTGACTATATATAGCTATAAAACACATCCCTGTCATGAGTCAACTTGATTTTTTTCTAGGACAATTTAAAGTATCAGTTCAATAAACTAGCTTAGGTACATAGTTTACTGCTTTGGAACTTCAAAGTGACAGTCAGGTACAATCAATATGAGGAAATAAAAGAAGGATTCAATTCTCTTGTTACTGATAAGTTCAAGAATATCTCTGTAAAAGTAATTGCTAAACCAGATATTTTTTTACCAAAAAAAAGACAAACTTAAAAGCCCAAATAATAATTTATATGTAATTTAAATGATTAAAATCAGTCATAAGTTCTTTCCAAAGGAAATAACAATTTCAGAAAAGACCATGATTTTTAAAAATTTCAAGTGTACTGTAATAATACAATCTATGATGAATGACAGACTGAAATAGTGAATCATGGAGCTTGGATATTATCAAGAAAAGACAATAAAAAATAAGTAATTTCTTATGGACATTTAAAAACTTACAGCTAAAGAGTTTTCAGTGTTTTTATGACTTTTTAAAAATTATTCTCAGTCATGATTAGTTAGTGCTAATTCAATCTATTAAGTTACAATTTCAAAAAGGCATTTTATAAAATGTAACGTATATTTCTACAGAAATTTAAATTCTATCTTCTGATGGTTTGCTTATCAAGTAAGCCCATGGACTTTGTAAAATTGAAATCAAGGTTTACATCACTCTGAATAAGCTGGAAAAATACCGTAACCTGCAGTAGGAAAATCAAAGATGAATGAATCAAATACTTATTCTGCTTAATTCATGCCTCTGATCATTTTAAACTTAACTAATTGGTATTATGAGTTCCCAACTGAACATGTGTTATTATATAACTGCATTCAGTATGTATTTTGTCTTATTAGAGGTTACATATTGCTTTTTATTTACATAGCTTTATTAAGATGTGATTGGCATACAATAAACTGCATGTTTTTAAAATATACTATTTAAGTTTTGACATATAGACCCATGAAACCATTACCAAGATTGAGATAGTGATCGTAACACCTCCCATAATTTTCTTTAATTTTTTTTAAAAAATACATTTGACTGTGTATATTTGAGGTTTACAACATGTTATGAGATACATATAGATAGTAAAATGGTTACAATAGTGAATCAAATTACAGTATCTGTCATCTGGTATACTTATGTTTTTGTAACAAGAACAGTTAAAATCTTATTTAACGAAAATTCCTAACACAAAACAATGTTATCAACTATAGCCCTCATGTTGTACATTAGATATCTAGGCTTGTTAATTTTATATCTTTTGACCTAAATCTCCTCATTTTCTCCCTGCCCCACCTGCCATGGTAGCCACTTTTTAATTCTCTGTCTCTATAGGGTTGACCTTCACTTTTTTAGATTCCACATATAAATGCAATATTATTCTTTCTGTGTCTGGTTTATTTCACTTAACGTAATGTCTTTCCAGTCCATCCATGTTGTGTCAAATGGCAGGATCTGATTTTTTTTTTAAACGCTGAGTAATATTTTGTTGTATATATATCACATTTTCTTTCTCCATTTGTCTGTTGATCGACACTTAGGTTGTTTCCATATCTTGACAATTGTGAATGACACTGCAATAAACATGACAGTGTAGCTATCTTTAGGGAGTGGTGATTTCATATCTTTTGAGTCTATTCCCAGAGGAAAGATTGCTGAATCATACGCTAGTTCTATTTTTAATTTACATAGGACCTTTGTTCTGTTTTTCCTAATGGCTGCACCAATTTATTTTTTTATTATTATTTCTTTATTTTTTATTTTTTAAATATACTTTAAGTTTTAGGGTACATGTGCACAACGTGCAGGTTTGTTACGTATGTATACATGTGCCATGTTGGTGTGCTGCACCCATTAACTTGTCATTTAACATTAGGTATATCTCCTCATGCTGCACCAATTTAAATTCCCACCAACAGCATGCTATAGTTTCCTTTTCTCCACACCTTCAACAATATTTGTTATCTCTTACCTTTTTGATAATAGCCATCCTAACATGTGTGAGGTAATGCTTCACAGTGGTTATTTGTATTTGCCTGATGATTACTGATGTAGAGCACTTTATTATATATTTGTTGGCCATTTTTATGTCTTCTTCAGAGAAATGTGTATTCAGGTCCTTTGTCCATTTTTTAATTGGATTTTTAAAATTTTTCTGCTGTTGAATTTTAAGAGACACTCCAATTCAGGAGATTGGGGGTGGAGTGGATCATAGAGGGGTGGTGTGGTGGGACACTGGGTTGGCTCAGGTGTCTACCTCACTGGGCCTAGGTTCAAGTAGTCAGGGGACAGGGTAGACATTAGAATGGGGAGATGAGCCTCTGAGGCACCTTGTTCCCAGAGTAGGGAGCTATAGCTTGGCTAGGGAATGTTGCAGTATCATGTGTGAGAGCATGGTGCAATGATGGCAAAACCTCCGGGATGAAGGAATGCAGTGGCTACTGGCCATTAGAACATAATGCACTCTAGCAGTGGCTCTGGGTTCAGAACGTGATAGTGCAGTGGCAGCTTGGGTCATGGGGTTCAGGGCACAATGTGGGCTCCTTCTCTAGAGTAGTACAGCCATGTGAATCCCAGGCAATTCCCTAAGCTGTGCTCAGGAACTGTAAAGACTGCAGGATCCTCCAGTAGCAAAAATTGCAGGTATCCGTGGTGGTTGATATGGTTTGACTGTGTGTCCCCACCCAAATCTCATCTCAGGTGGTGATCCTACATGTTGAGGGATAGACCTGGTGGGAGGTGACTGGATCATGGGGTGGTTTTTCCCATTATGTTTTGTTGATAGTGAGGGAGTTCTCACGAGAGCTGATGGTTTTAAAAGTGTTTGGCAATCCCCTTTTCATTATTTTTCTCTCTCCTCTCGCCATGTAAGACGTGCCTTGCTTCCCCTTCACCTTCTGCTATGATTGTAAGTTTCCTGAGGCCTCTCCAGCCATGTGTAACTGTGACTCAATAAAAACTCTTTTCTTTATAAATTACCCAGTCTTAGGTAGTATCTCCATAGCAGTGTTAAAATGGACTAATACAGTGGTGATGAGGGCCACTGAGGGTCTCTTACTTGCCTTTCTCTATCTGGAGAAGCCCCTTGTGATCCAGACTTGGGGATGGGATGGCAGAGGCAATGTGTTTTCTTCTCTTCTTATGTGACCATCCTGAGTTTCTGTGCTCCACAGGGTTTACCTCACTCCTTTGCTGCACTCTGGCACTCCTCTTTAGTTACTCAGGTCAAAATGCAGCTGCTTATTCATTAGTTTGGTTCCTGATTGTTGGAGAGTGATAAGTGTTAGGCACACCTCTAGTCAGCCATCTTGCTGATTTCTGTCTCAGAATTTTCTTGTGCCCTTTGTAAATCTTCTTTCATCCCTCCTGCTGTGGCTCCACACAGCCACTGCTTAGTTTTCTGTCACTAAACACTAATTAGCATTTCTTAGAACTTTATATAAATGGAAACATATGTAGTTTTTGTTGTCTGGCACTTTTCACTTAACATAATTATTTTGATGTTCTTATGTACTGCAGTGTGTATCAGTAGGCTATTTATTCTAATTGTGGAGTAGTATTCTATTGTATAGATAACACACACTGTATCCATTGACCTGCTAATGGATATTTGGATTGTTTACAGTTTGAGGTTACTGAAAATAAGGCTTCTATGAACATGAGTGTAAATAGGGACGTAGGTATTTATTTCTCTTGAGTAAATACTTAGGACTGAAATGATATGGTCAGGACAGGTTTAAATATTTAGGAGACTTCCAAACTGTTTTCAAACAGGTTGTAGTATTTCACATTTCTACCAGGAGCATATGAGATTTCCTACCCAAAACTTGGTACAGTCAGACTTTTTAGTTTTAGCCTTTTAGATTTGTGTGTAGTCATTTTTCTTTGTGGTTTTAATTTGCATTTCCCTATTGTTGAGCATCTTTTTCTGAGCTTATTTGCTATCTGTATATCTTCTTTAATGAAGTATCTTTTCATATCTTTTTCCTATTTGAAAAATATGTGTTAATTGAGATTTTAGAACTCTCTCTATATTTTGGATACATGTCAATTATTAGATATATGCTGTGAAAGATTTTCTTCCAGACTCTGGCTAATCATTTTATTCTCTGAATGGTGTCTTGAAATTAAGTAGCACTAGTCCTTCAAATCTATGATTTTTTTTCAAAGACATCTAGCTACTTTATGTCCTTTAAATTTTTTTTAAATTTTAGAATCAATTGATCAATGTCTCTCAAAAATCCTGCTAGGATTTTGATTGAAATACATGTAATTATAGATGAATTTGAGAAAAATTTTTATCTTGGCAATATTTAGTCTTAGTGTCCATGAACATAATATATCTGTTTAGGTCTTTATATAAGCAATATTTTTTAGTTTTCTTTCATATTTCTGTCAGATTTCTATGTATTTTGTATTTTTGATTTTATTGTTAGTGATATTATTTTATTTCAAATCTATTTTTTTCATTGCTAATGTATTGAATACAATGGAGTTTTGAATATTGATCTTGTACAAACTCGTTAAATAACTTATTAGTTCTAGTAATTTCAGATTTTCTAACACAATCATGTCATTTGCAAATAAATACAGTTTTATTTCTTTCTTTCTGAACTAGATTATTTTTATGTTTTATTCTTGCCTTATTTCATAGGCTAGAGTCTTCAGTACAATGTTGAGCAGCAGTGGAAACAGCAGACATCCCTGTTTTTTTCTTTAATCTTCAGGTGAAGCATTTAGTCTTTCACTATTAAGTATGCTGTTAGCTCTGTGTATGTATGTGTGTGTGTGTGTGTTTAATATATATTTAGATATCCTTTATCAGGTTGTAAATTTCCTTTCTGTTTCTATTTTGTTGAAAGTTTTTATCAGGAATGAATATTGGAAAAAAAGGCAAGTACATTTTCTTCACTTTTCTCTCCCTCCCCTCCGTGCCTCTTTCCCAACTAAAAGTTTATCAATTTGATTAATCCTCTCTGAGAGGCAACCAAATGAAGCCAAAAGTTACATTTACTTTCTTTACTTGTATGCTATTTTATTTAGTTCCATTCTCATCTATGCTATTTCTCACATTAGGTTTCATTTGCTCTTTTTGTTTACAGGTTCTTCAGCTGAAAGCTGGATGGCTTTTTTTTTTTTGAGACCTTATTTTTTATTTATCTCTAATATGGGTGTTTAGTGCTCCAACTTTCTCCCTAAGTATTGCTTTCACAGCATCCAACAAATTGTATATGCTGTATATTATTTTAATTTGGTATAAAATACTTTTTATGTTCTACTTTTATTTTTATTTGACCCTTGAATTATTTTATAATGTTATTTTTTCCCAGCAGTTGGAGATTATTCAGGGATTTTTCTATCACTAATCTTTATTTTAATTTTATTTGGTCAGAGAACCTACTTTGTATGACTTGAATTCTTTTAAATGTAGTAAGATTTGTTTTTTGGTCCTGAATATGATCTCTCAGTAAATGGTCTCTGTGAACTTTAGAGGAATGTATTGAACTGTTTTTGGATGGAGTGGTCTATAAATTTCTGGTAGGTGTTGTTCTAGTCTTCTACATTCTTATAGAATTTATGTCTACTTGTTCAACCAGCATTGTGAGGTAGTTTTGGAAGCTCTGACTATAATGGGGCATTTTCAGTCTATCAGTTTTGCTTCATGTATTTTGAAGCTCTGTTATTAGCTGCAAAGCACATTTAAGATTTTTCTGTTCCTTTGAACTAACAACCCCCTTTTTCAATATGGAATAAATTTCTTTATACCTGGTAATATTCCTTGAATGTATTTTGGCTATTATTAATATAACCTCCTCTTTTTATGTAGTTAATGTTTGTATTATATATCACCTTTCATTATTTTATTTTTAATCTATGACTTTATATTTGCATTTCTCTATAGGCAATATATAGTTAGGTCTTTCGGCTTGATCAGATTTGACAAATGAGACATTGTGCCTTCAAGATGGGCTGTCTCATTCACCCAATATCCATCTTAGTATATTTATTAATTTTAATGTGTGCATGGTATTCTGTTATATTATCAACTGGCCAAGTAGTTTCTAAGCAACAAGCAACTGCCAGGCTACATTTCCACATTTTCATGGATTTGACCAATAAAGAATAAGCCCAAGTGGATTTAGACAGTTTATTACCCATGACAAAGCAAACAATATGATCTTCATGTTCACATTTCTACCCCTGCTTACCCTCCGCAAGTCTCATGGGGACAATATAGAAGAGTGCAGGTGAATACTATGCACATAGGATTATTTATCACTGAGAAGGAACAAGTGTAATCTTATAAGGAGACTGATAACAAACCTTCCCAACCTTTGCTACACAGGGGAATTTCTCCTTTATTACCCCGATCAGGAAACAAATCTGTCCTCTCTCCTAGAGGTAGACACTACCTTTGTTATTCCGAAGTGCTTCTAGGGAGGAGAGAGAGACTTTAGCCTTAGTACCATGGAAAGTAAGCAGATCTGTTCCTTGACCTGGAGAAGCTTTGACAAAGCTGTCAATGCCCTTTCTTCAGAGGTTGTGTAGAAATGTCAGACTTACAGGGAATTTTCTCCCAACATATTTAGAAGTATCGGTTACTTCTTTCAGAAAAAATGAAGCTACTCAGTATTTTAAGGAAAAGTTTAGTAGAAGAAAATAGAAGCGTATGCAGTGGCTGGAGGAGTAGGGCTAGCAAATGTTAGGCCCATTATTTGCTATCAGGTTATCTGGACGTGCAGACAGAGCCAGGTAAGCTGATGCTGCAGATCTGTACTGCTGGTGGCATAAAAGTGTTTAATTATCAGGAGGATGCCTGAAAGCTATTGGGAAAACTCCAGGTCTTCAGCCTGCTGTCTGCCAATGCCCTTGTGCCTGTCCTCAGCCCTGCCAGAGAATAATGGCTTTTCTTACTCTTCCACATCCCAAATCTCATTCAAGTGATATTTATTGGCACAATCTAGTGGCATTCTGGAATTTGGGTAGGATACCTCTCAAGCTCTTCCCTTGTATTTTAGGAAAGTATATAGATGAAGGAGAGTGATGTTGAAATTGAAAACAATCTGTGGAAGCCTTTATTAATGTAATTCTAACATCTTTTCTCTTACCACAATACTTTAGTAAATAACCTTGTACATCTCCCTTTTGGCACATGTGGGAGGATTTCCACTGGATAGATGCCTAGAAACGTAATGGCTCACAGTGCGTGCCTATCATACATTTTGATAGATGATACCAAATTACTCTCCAAAAGCAGTTGCTTTCCAGGGAGTAACTGTAGGAGAAGGGAGGAGAAAAACCCTGTTTGTAGATGATTTAGAAGCACAAGTTAGTACTCAAGTCTCCTTCATGGACACTGACTCAGTGCCTTTGGGTGGTGACTCTGTGAGGCAATGGGAGGGAAGAAGAAAGTGCAATGACCCCACGATACCTTATTATAAGACCTAACATCTAGCATCAATCTTTGAACCATCGAGAAAGAAAGAAGAAATACAGGATTGAATGTCTTGTCTCAGGTCTTATGCCAGCAGCTTGTACATGGATTTTCCAATTTAATTGTCAATGTAAGTCTATGAAATATATTATTCTCCCCATCTTTCCTGGTGAACTATTGAGGGGTAGATGCCAAGTAGCTTGTTAGAGATCATGCATTTAACAAATGGTAGGGATAAGATTCAAAACCAGCTGGGAAAAATTACAAAATCTGTATTTTTTTTCTATATCTCACAGAAATCTTCCCTTCTTGGTAAACATCCTTGAGCCTCCTATTATTCTTTTATGGCTAGTTTACTGTCTTCAAGGCTGCCCATGTGTACCGGAGAGAATACAGACTCTGGAGATGTAAAGACTTGAATTTGAATTAAAGGTTGAGTCCCATGTTCACCATTTATTATCTGTGTTACTTTTGAGCAATTCAATTCAGCTCTTTAAATTTAGTCTCAACATCTATAAAACTGCTATAATGAAACATGCTTGGCAAGTTTGTTGTGAGCATTAGAGATAATATATGCAATGTGCTTAGCATATTGTTACAGCATTAATTATGTATACTTATGTATACATTGCAGGCGAGCTGCCCGCTTCCGGGATCCACTAGGCAAAGCCAGCTGGGCTCCTGAGTCAGGTGGGGTCTTGGAGAACTTTTATGTCTAGCTAAAGGTTTGTAAATGCACCAATCAGCACTTCGTGTCTAGCTCAAGGTTTGTAAATGCGCCAATCAGTGCTGTGTGTCTAGCTCATCTAGTGGGGACTTGGAGAACTTTTATGTCTAGCTGGAGGATTGTAAATGCACCAGTCAGCACTGTGTGTCCAGCTCAAGGTTTGTAAACACACCAATCAGCACCCTGTCAAAATGGGCCAATCAGCTCTCTGTAAAGTGGGCCAATCAGCTCTCTGTAAAATGGACCAATCAGCAGGATGTGGATGGGGTCAGATAAGGGAATAAAAGCAGGCTGCCCCAGCCAGCAGCGGCAACTGAGTGAGCTCCGCTTCCACGTGTGGGAGGTTTGTTCTTTGGCTGTTGGCAGTAAATGTTGCTGCTGCTGACTCTTTGGGTTTGAGCCGCCTTTATGAGCTGTAATGTTCACCATGATGGTCTGCAGCTTCTCTCTTGAAGCCAGCTAGACCACGAACCCCCCAGAAGGAAGAAACTCCCGATACGTTGGAACATTAGAAGTAACAAACTCCGGACATAGCATCTTTAAGAACGGTAACAGTCACCACGAGGGTCTGCAGCTTCATTCTTGAAGTCAGCCAGACCAAGAAACCACCAATTGTGGACACATCGGGATTGGCACATGTTGAATGCTGTGAGACTAGATGCCAAAGTATGCATGTGTTGTGAATTATGTTTACAAGATGTTATAAATATGGGCCGATAAAGTTGATATTTATAATTCCTTAAAGTCACGTATTAAATCTGATATATTTTATCTCTTCACAAGTCAAAATAAACTTAGAAAGTTTTGAGAAACAAAAATATAGACTAGAATATTATATGCATGTAAGACTGTACAAATCCAGTCTAAAATGTAATTAATGTATCATTGTTTCCTCCTTGGGAAAATTATCCAGTAGTACTCCAACATTATGTCTTTTTCTGTCTAGTCCTAATGCAGAGGAGACAGGAAATCAGAAACAGCTTAAAACCCTTGGTGATGTACTAGTGACAGTTGAATTAGAATAAAATATGTGTCTTTTGACTGCTTGCTAAAAATGTAAATGATTTTTTATAATTTTTTTTGACTTCTTAGTGCCAGTGTGTTTACATTGACCAAATATTTTGGTGAAAGTTTTGTATATTTTTTTTCAAAATGTTAAGACAATAAAAATATTTGAGTTCAACAATGTATTCTTAGAAATATATTTCTAGTTTTATAGTGCTTAAGTTTATTAGAATATGACAATAACATATGCCAAATCAATGCTTAAATTGATACTTTTTATAATTTTCTTGATCTTGAGAAGTCTTAAAAAGAGGTACTATATTTTTCATTATAATATATAAAGATACCTATTGATTATAATTTCATTTGGCTTAGGAATTTCCCTTTGAAAGAAAGTATCATTTTGGATGAATGTAGAATGTATTTAAAAATTTTAAACACCGAAGAGATAAGTTTATACACTTGGACTCTGTTATTAATAAGTTATGGCCATTATCTCTTCCTTGCCATGGGGAGAGTCCTAGTTGTTATTATACTGTCATGTGTCACTTAAAGATGCAGATACAGTCTGAAAAATATGTCATTAGGCTGTTTCATCATTGTGCAAACAGAGTGTACTTACACAAACCTAGATGATATAGACTACTACACACCTACATTATAACGCAGTTGTAATACAATGGTAAAATATTTGTGTACCTAAACATCCCTAGACATAGAAAAGATAATGCATTGTGCCAAGACATTAATGTTAGCTATGACATCACGAGGCAGCTCGTTTATAATCTTATGGGATCATTGTTGTATATGCGGTCCATTATTGACCAAAATGTCATTACATGGTACAGTCCCACACTTGACGTGATATAGAGTTCATATGTCACTTTTTCATTGTTACTGATTTTGATCAACCAAGTTTTAAATATGTACTGTGAAAAATTTATTTTCACCTTTATTTTGAAGTACTGTGCATCATTTCATAGCAAATCTATGGCATGGATATGCAGGAAAAAGTGGATAAAATTATATTTTGACAACTTCCTAAATTATTATGTCTCTCAGAGATAATAATGATCAGTGGTATATATACTGTTCTACTCTGAGATAGCCCAGGGGCATCCCAAACTATGAGGGTTTCTGTGACACTCATACAGATAAACTAGGTCCATAATGTATAAATATTAATGTTGGCATTCACACTGAGGCTGGGCTTTTGCATTTCCACACCAAATAGTTATCTTTTAAAAACATAACATTACAGATACATTTTGGCCTGAAGGTATTTTCATAAGTTCCCTATTTATATGTTGTTGATGAAATTAAGGATTCCAGTAAATCATAATAATCATTGCTAGTGGAGGAGAACACAGTAAGATTAATTCCAATTTTGTGGGGAAGAAATATTTTACATATGGTTTTAGTTATGTATTTAGTTATGGATGACTCTGATGTTCTGAAAATGTATTGCATTTTAACCAAAAGCGTCAGAATATAATACATTAGTTAGTACCTCAGTATTTGAAAGGCAGTGAAAACCGTTGGCTGTTTTTAGACATTTGTGTATATTTTGATATATATGTCAATATTTAATAGAATAAATCTTATGTGTTAAAATGTTCTCATTCCTGAACACACTAAATATAAAAACTTTAAGGAAGGAGCATTTATTAGTTTGCTAAGGCTGCCATACCAAATTATCACAAACTGGGTGGCTTAAACCAATAGAAATTTATTGTCTCACAGTTTTAGAGGCTATAAGTCTCATATCAAGATATTGACAGAGCTGGTTCCTTCTGAGGGCTGCCTCTCCCCTAGTTCTTGTGGTTTTCTGGCAATCTTTGGCTTTCCTTGGCTCATAGAAGCATCACCCTGATTTCCGCCTTAATTTTCACATGGTGTTCTCCCTGTGTTTTGTGTTTATCCAAATTTTCCCTTTCTGTAATACCAGTTATGTTCGAATAGGGGCCCATCGTTCTCTGTGTTGACCTTATCTTAACTGATTACATCTGCAATGACTCTTTTCCCAAATAAGGTCACATTCTGAAGTTTTAGGAGCTAGGACTTCAAAATATAAATTTTGGGGAGACACAATTCAACCCATACAGAGGGTAATGGATACTTATAACTACCTTCTTAAACATGGATCTTGAAATTCAACTTGCCTTTTCCCTTCCTCTCAACTAAATTTTTTTTCAAAACCTGAATTTGAAAGAAAGACTCCACTTAACCGTTTTTAAATTTTAAGGCAGAAATAACACATAAGCATACTGGAGTAAAAGTGTGTATTCTATATCCTGTGTGCACTCCACAACTATATTTAGTAATGTTGACTCCTCACATTTCCTAAGTTCTTTTAAAACTGTACAAAATATTTATTTTTACATTGCTTTCTGAAAGCTGATATGTTATTTAGGGATCTTAATAAATAAGAACAAGGCTAGATTAATTCAAAGAAATTTAAGGTATTTAGATTAAGGTTTACACTTTCTGTGGATAAGGAGTTTGAGCAGGGATTAGTTGGGTCCTCTATTAGGGTCCCACAAGGCTACAGTAGTGGTGTTGGCCAGGCCACGGTGTTATCTGAGGTTCGTCACCCAAACTCATGTGATCATTGACAGAATTCATTTCCTGGTATCTGCAGAACTCATGGAGGCTTCAATTTCAAGCTCAAAAGGACCATACCTTTCTGATGCTTTACCTTCTCCTAAAGGGTCCTCTGATTGGGGACTGGGTCAGAATAAGTTATTTCTAAAAGATTATTAACTCAAAGACAACCAATTATCAAGCTAAGCACACGATATCCCATTAAATTCACAGTTTCTGTCCACAGCTCAAAGGGAGGAGAATATACAAGGCATATACACCAGGGAGTGGAATCTTAGAGGCCCTCTTAGAATTCTGCCTCTTATAGTAACAAATATATACATTATCATTAAGAGGTAGATAACTAATAGATACTATTAATAAAAATGATTCATGCATAATGTAAAATTACACAAATATTAATGTTTCCATTAAACTCCTAATATGTATAATATTCTGATCTAGAAAATAATATATTCTCACTTCTTATTTTGCCTTTCCAATTTATTTCTTCTTATTTTATTTCATTTGATTCCTGATTGTCCTGCTTCTGTAGAAAGGTTTCAAATGTGGCCATTCTATGTAGTCTATTGTTTAGAATTTTTAATCTGTTTTATAATAAAGAAAATACCTTGCTTTTTAGGCTTATTTCTCTATACATAAATCTTCACCTTATGATTTTGTTGATTTTTTCTCTATGGGATTCTCTCCCCATTTCAGCTCATTTGTTCTGATAGCATCATATTAAAATGCAGTTCTTGCATCAAATAGTACCGCCTCCAAGATAGAATCCTGGATTCCTGTAGTTATCTATAATAACTGTATTTTAGTATGTTTACTGCAATTGACCATAATAGAAGTGTGATTAATTTTATTCATATTTTTATATATTTATACTTAGACGTTTGTTTCCATTGCATCCCTTACTAGATAATAAAAATGTTGTGAATAGAAATCAGACATAGTGTGATCATGTCATTTTCTTCAGGCTTAGTAAGAGTTAAATTGTTTCACTTTTCACTGTAGTTGATATTAATTGGTTTATATATTTGTTTTGTGAGTTAACGCATATAATTAGGCCAAGTTAAAAGGAATCATATGTCAGTTGTATTCATATTTAAATATGCTGTGAAATTTTCTAGCCTGTCAGAAAAAGATTATACCAGTATTACTATATCAATAATACACAAAAAAGTCTATATAGTTTTCCTTTTGATAGAACAAAACTTATTCTGAAAGAATAAATAAAATGTTCAATCTAAAGATATTATCCCAACCTTCAAACTTCAGTGGGAATACATGACACAACTATTTTAGAAGGAAAACTATAGAGCATTGTATCAGTATGTGGTATCTTATATGCCTTATAGCACACAAATGTTACCCAATTGAGATATTCATTAGGCATTAGATACCTGTCTCTAAATCTAGCTATCATAGAGATGTTTCGCATGGAGGGACACTCAGAAAACATTTATGAATAAGAGTAGATTCGGCTACTGAATTTAGATAAATGCAACCCAGTTGGATGTGTACTTTAGTAATCAGTGGCATATTAGAGTCATTGACCTTAAAATACTGAACTCATGTTTTAAATTATTTTACTCCTTACTTGGGTGACATAGGATTCATATTGATTACTGTAATTTGGATTACAGAAGAAAAAGTGCTATTTATTCACATAGAATATCAATTTTAAAATGTGAGGCCAGGCGCGGTGGCTCATGCCTGTAATCCCAGCACTTTGGGAGGCCAAGGCCGGTGGATCACGAGGTCAGGAGATTTGAGACCATCCTGGCTAACACGGTGAAACCCCGTCTCCACTAAAAATACAAAAAATTAGCCGGGCGTGGTGGCGGGCACCTGTAGTCCCAGCTACTCGGGAGGCTGAGGCAGGAGAATGGTGTGAACCCAGGAGGCGGAGCTTGCAGTGAGCCAAGATTGCGCCACTGCACTCCAGACTGGGCGACAGAACAAGACTCCATCTCAAATAAATAAATAAATAAATAAATAAATAAATAAATAAATAAATAAATAAAATGTGATTTCAGTAAGCTGTAATTACAAAAGATCGCAAGGAATCTGCCATTCTGAGTCAAAAATTTTACTGCCCTTCTCGAGTCATGCCCAATCTTCTTGTCTTAAACATGTGAGAAGAATATTTGTGAACAACTATCAGCTACTACTTCATGGTGATTGCTTAAACGTATTCATACACGTATAAATAGATACATATGATATAAATATTTTAGCTCTTTTTGCTTTCTAAGGCTGACATCTGACAGTGAGGCCATTGATCTTCAGTTGCTAGAAAAGAAAAATTTTAGGCTAGTCTACCACTTGAGTGATTTGCTTTTAAAACTATGAGAATACATAGAAGTCAAATCAATAATTAAGCAGTACAACAATAAACTTCATGTTAGTATTATGATGAACATCATATTTTTATGTGAAAAGCTACACACATAACAATGAAGGCAAATATTATCAAATTTATTAATATGCATTGAATAGCGCTAGAGTGTACAGAAGGCAGATCGACCTTTATCTCATTACATTAATGAGATGAGAAAAATTTGAAACTCAGAAGATTGCCATCAGTTGATATTCTTTTTTTGTTGTTGTTTCTTTGAGACCAAGTTTTGCTCTTGTTGCCCAGGCTGGAGTGCAATAGCGTGATCTTGGCTCACTGCAACCTCCCCTTCCAGGTTCAAGCAATTCTCCTGCCTCAGCCTCCTGAGTAGCTGGGTTTACAGGCGCCCGCCACCATGCCTGGCTAATTTTCTTTTCTTTTCTTTTTTTTTTTTTTTTTTTTGTAGAGATAGAGTTTTACCATGTTGATCAGGCTGGTCTCGAACTCCTGACCTCAGGTGATCCACTCGCCTCAGCCTCCCAAATTGCTGGAATTACAGGCGTGAGCCACCGCGCCCAGCCCAGTTCATATTCTTAACAAGCAAATGAAAAAAGCTGTCAAATGACAAAATTACTGAAAAAAATGAAGCTCTGTTGCCTTTATTTAATGATTGGGCTATTTGGTTGCAAACACTTTATTCTACTCTCTTTCTTGTGATATATGACTGCTAACATGTAAATTCAGTAGATCTTTTTAGTATGTGAACCAGAGGTTGAAGGCACAGTGCTTTAGTCCTTTGAAGCCTTGATATCCTTATAAGATCAGTTGGATTTATTCAAATCTCAGTTGGTTGCTTTGAGAGAATAAAATGATCCCAGGGGTAGAAGATATCCATTTGCTAATGTCTAGGCTACCTGGTATTTAAAAACTGAAACACATTTTTTTTTTTCTAAAATGTAAGTTCTTATATGATTGGTATATTTTATTTTTGTGTGTATTAATTAATAAGCCAAACCTCTTAAGGATATTTCTATAATACCATTTCATATGAAGAAAGTTATTTCCTGTTCATTCACTAAATACATATATGGATGAACAGGATATAATATATAATTATATATATTATATATTTAAAATAATACTTTAATATATGTAGAAACAGGCTTTATATATATTATATATTTAAAATTATATATACAGCTTATTTCTGTTATCCTCAAAATAAAACCACTCACGTGGCATGAAAAGGAGTCTTAATATCTTAAAGGGAGATATACTTGGCCTCTTAAATATGATTAGCACATTTATTATAGAAACTTTCTCACAGATATCAGATACTCAAATTTTTCCTGACTTTTTACACTCTTTCTTAATATATCTCTTTTATTTACCTTATTTTCACTTTGATTTTCTTTTAAATGATAGCTGTAGACATGCCAATAACAAATATTTTAATTGCGTGTTCAATAAAATGTAATTTAAAATTGCTGAGTTTATTTACAAATAAAATACCTTAAGACTTAAAACAACAACAAAAAAATAAACTATTTAGTTCCACATGAAGTTTTTGTTTATCTCAAGGTAAAATTTTAGTTTATAGAAAAGTTTTAGAGAGAAACTATTGGGAACATTGGTGGAATACTAAAAAGATCATTATTATTTTTTAATGGTGGAAAGCATAATCTAAATTTCTTGTTGATAATTCAGTAGGACAGGGTATTTGGAGAACGGGGTATATTTCATCACTTAAAAGACAAGATAATCACAGAAAGCAGCCATCAGTTTTAGCCTTTCTCATGAACAAAGACAGAAAATGAGTAAACATTAATGTGTTGGAACTACCAATGAAAAGAAACTTAGGCAGTATAAGATAAACTTATTAGATTTATGACATATGCAACTCCATTTTTAAAGCAGAGAAATTCCACATTAAAACAAAATTCTTATAATTTTCTGTTGCTTCCCTCCAAGCCACTTCATTCTCCCTAGTGTAAAAAGGTCAGTCTTAGAATAGCTTATGTATTTTTGCTTCCAAATGCAACAGAAACTTGTAGACAGAATATATGGCTCCCTATATAGTAGTATTTGAGAAACCAAATACCATAAAAAGGCTATCTTTTGCAGACATAATCCCCTTAATGTTTGTGTGTGGAGTTATTCCTTTTGGATAATACGTACTCTGTTAAAATAAAATGTTATACCAGTCTCTTATCAGACACCAGCATATTAGCTGGATTAATTACCTAAGAAGGGTCAGAGTGGTGAGGGCCAGGGCATAGCATTGGTGTATTTTGACAGGGAAGTTAAAAAAAGTCACTGGCCTCTGACTTAGAATTAAATGAAATACAGCAACCCAATAATGAATTCTGAGTATCCAGGGAACAATAATACTCTAAAGCAAACTCAGAGATCACAAAGGGGCATGACAGGAATACACCCAACGGTACACAGGCACTGGAAGAACCTTGTACTACATTTATACTTTAGTCTTAGGTGTGCCCAAAAGTATAACATACAGTTCTTTGATACAAGTCCCAGAAACCTACTTTTGCTCACTTCATGAAAAAAAGAAAAAAAACTGGTTATTGGAAGGATATGAAGAGGCACACAGAAATGAAAAGCTAAACAGCACTCAAGTCAGGCAAAAGATGGGAATCTTAGAGAACTGAGATAGAAGCAGGGCTAGCCTCATAATTGAAGGGTCCAGTGCAAAATGAAAATGTAGTACTACTTGTTCAGAAATCACTGAAAATTTCAAGATGGTGACAGAAGAATATATTACCAAATGTAGTATCCTTTCAAGAGGTGGGCATCTCACAAGTTCATGAATCTGACCATGGGTGGCAGGAATTAATGGATAAGCTCCATAGTATAAATCAGCTACTATGGTTTTCTGTCTTCGTCCTTTGTTGCTACTAAAGATTCACACTTCTGGGAACCATAATCTAGGGATTTAGAATGGTGAATTCTTTCCAGAAGGTTTTCAGTTTACTTTGCCTAAATTCATCAGAAGAATCACTATCTATGGCAGCTATAGCCACAGGGGAAGAGAGCATGGGACCCTGTTTAGCAAGACTGCATGCAATCATGGAGAAGAGTAAGGAGTTTCTCGAAGGAACATAAAGGAACTGTTAACAAAGGACGTGATTTCTTCCTGTGCAGGAAAAAACAAACAGACATTCACATGGAAATAAAAAAATAAAAATCCTTTCTTACACTCCTGTGACCAGCTTCTAAGAAGTTGGCTCTAAGAACATGAATAGTTTATTTAACAGTGCTCCTGTAACATCTCCATTGGATCACAGATACTCAGGTTTAAATACTGGCATATCTCATTTTATTGCACCTTGCTTTACACAGTGCTTCCCACATACTACATTTTTTACAAATTGAAGGTTTTTGGTAATCGTCTGTCAAGCAAGTCCATCGGTGCTAGTTTTCCAACAACCTGTGCTCACTGTGTCTCTGTGCCACAATTTGGTATTCACACAAGATTTCAAACTTTTTCATTATTATATTAGTTATGGTGATCTATGATCAGCAATCTTTGATGTTACTATTGTAATTGTTTTGAGGTGCCATGGACTGTGCCCATATAGAAATCAAACTCAGTGGATAAATGTGTGTGTTCTGACTGGCTATTCCCCTATATCTCTCCCTGTCCTCAGGCCTCCCTATTCCCTAAGACACAACAATATTGAAATTAGATCAATTCTACAATGCCCTGTAGATGTTCAAGTGAAGAGTCACATTTCTCTAAATTTACGTGAAAAGCTGTAAATGATTAAGCTTGGTGAGCAAAACATGTCAAAAGCTAGGCATCTTTTGACAAACAGCCACGTTGTGGATGCAAAGGAAAAGTTCTTGAAAGATATTAAAAGTGCTACTTCAGTGAGCACAGGAATTATAAGAAAATAAAACAGCCTTGTTGCTGATATGGAGAAAGTTTTAGTGGTCTGGATAAATCAAATCAGTCATTACAGTCCCTTATGCCAAAGCCTAATCCAGAGAAAAGCCCTAACTCTCTTTGATTTTATGAAGGCTGAGAGAGGTGAAAAAGCTGCTGAAGAAAAGCTGGAAACTAGCAGGGGTTGGTTCATGAGATTTAAGGAGAGAAGCTATCTCCATAAAATAAAAGTGTAAGGTAAAGCAGCAAGCACTAATGTAGAAGCACAGAAAGTTATCCAGAAAATCTCACTGAGACCATTGATGAAGGTGGCTACACTGGCAAACAGATTTTCAAGGTAGACAAAACAGACAGAAGATGCCATCTGGGACTTTCATAGCTAGAGAGAAGTCAATGCCTGACTTCAAAGCTTCCAAGGACAGGCTGACTCTCTTGATAGGGACTAAAGCAGCTCTTGACTTTAAGTTGAAGCCAAGTTTTATTTCCCATTCTGAAAATTGTAGGGCCCTTAAGAATTATGTCTGTGCTCAATTAATGAAGCAACGAAGCATAGATGACAACACATCTGATTACAACATGGAACACTGAATATTTTAAGCCCACTGTTGAAACCTACTGCTCAGAAAAAAACAAGATTTCTTTAAAAATATTACTGGTCATTGACAATGCACCTGGTCAACCAAGCATTCTGATGGAGAGGTATGAGGAGATTAAAGTTGTTTTCATGCCGTCTAACAGAACATCCATTCTGTAGCTCATGGATCGTTGAGGAATTTTGATGCTCAAGTCTTCATATTTAAGAAATACACGTTGTAAGGCTAGAGTTGCCAGAGAGAGTGGTTCTTCTGTTTGATCTGGGTAAAATACATTAAAAATCTTCTGGAAAGAACCATTCTAGATACCATTAAGAACATTTGTAATTCATGGGAGGAGGACAAAATATCAACATCAACACAAATTTGGAAGAAGTTGATTCCAGCCCTCATGGATGACTTCAAGGGGTTCAAGACTACAAAGACCAGTGTAGGAAGTAACTTCAGATGTGGTGGAAACACCAAGAGAACTAGAATTAGAAGTGGACCCTGAATATGTAACTGAATTGCTGTAATCCCATAACGGTTGCTTCTTGTAGATGAGCACAGAAAGTGTTGTTTTTTTTTTTTCTTTTTTTGAGATAGATTCTACTCTTAGTGAATATGCTGTGAATATTGTTGAAATTACAACAAAAAATTTAGAATATTACCTAAACTTAGTGGATAAAGCTGGGGCAGGGTTTGAGAGGATTGATACGAAGTTTGAAAGAAGTTTAACTCTGGGTAAAATGCTACCAAATGGAATTGCATGCTACAGAGAAATCTTTTGTGAAAGGGAGTGACTAGATGCAGCAAACTTCATTGTTGCCCTATTTCAGGAAATTGCCACAGCCACTCCACCCTTCAGCAACCACCACCCTGATCAGTCAGCAGTCATAAATATGGAGGTAAGACCTCTCACTAGCAAAAGATTAGGACTCATTGAAAGCTCAGGTGATTGTTAGAATTTTTTAGCAATAAATTATTTTTAAATTAAGGCGTGTACATTGTTTTTTAGACATAATGCTATTGCACGCTTAATAAAATACAGTATAGTATACACAAACTTTTATATGTGCTAGGAAAGCAAAAAAATTGTGTGACTTCCTTTATTGAAATATTTGCTTATTGCAGTGGCATGGAACCTAACCCATGATATCTCTGAGGTATGCCTGTATACCAAAATTATTAATTTCAATGATTCTAGGAAACTTTTTTTTAATAAAGTAGTTTTTGGTTAAAATTTCCAGTATGTTACACTCTTCTAACAAACTGTCGAAGAATAAGAGAAAAAATGTTTTAGACTGGGTGTAGTGGCTCACACCTGTAATCCTAGCACTTTGAAAGGCCAAGGTGGGAGGATCACTTGATGTCAGGGGAGTTCAAGACCAGCCTGGCCAACAGAGTGAAACTCCATCTCTACCAAAAATATAAAAAAATTAGTCGGGTGTGGTAGCACACGCCTCTAATCCCAGATACTTGGGAGGCTGAGTCAGGAGAATTGCTTGAACCTGGGAGGCGGAGGTTGCAGTGAGCCAAGAACAGGCCACTGAACTCCAGCCTGGGCCACAGAGTGTGGCTCTGTCTCACACACACACACACACACACACACACACACACACACACACACACACACACACACAAATAAAATAAAATAAAAGGGAGAGAGAGAAAAAATGTTTTAGGTTAAATACAAATAAAAGAGCTTATAGGAATTACTCTGAGGTGAAACTAGCTTATATCCTCTAATCAGTATGTATTCATGGCTTTTAGAGTTTGGCTTAAGAAGCTTATCGAGGATTTCGCCAAGTGGCTGTCTCTGAAGGGAGTGGAAATGTTAGGACTCACACTCTGGAGCCAGACTCTGGGTTTAAAGTTCTGTTTTGCTGTGTGTATCCTGTTCAGTCTCTACACCTAGGAAAATGTTAATATAAGAATTGATTATTAAAATATCTCTAAAGGTGACATAATTTAAAATACAATTATTACACATAAAACAATTTATTCTTTTCAGAACAGTTTATTCTTTTCAGACATATGTTTCATATGTATGAAACAATACATATAAAACAACGTAGTACGATTATTTGGTGGAGGTATGTCTTAGGAATGGAACTTGATTTTATTGGGGGGAATTATTTTTTTTTCTGTTATCCTTTCTAAATGGGCAGTTATCTCTGAAGAGGAAAGAGCAAAATGGAGCTTTTATTCTCTCACCTCTTCTTTGGTTGTATTAAGAAGAGGGCTGAGTTTTTATTCTCATCTCTGTTTCAAAGACAATTCAATGTTGATACCAATCTGTGTTTCTGCTGCTTGTGTAAAAGAAAAACCATCCTATGCCACCAGCAACCACTGTTATCTGGTTTTAAATGTCAAGTATACTTCAGCATAGAAATAAAGAAACTGAGATAACAGTCAAAGAAAAATATATTGAAGCACAAAGATAAGAGTCCAACCATCTTAGTGTCTGTGTCTTTGAGAAAGGAGTTAGGAAAAGATTCATCAACAGAAACCTAAAACATTTTGCAGCTTCTAACTTATCTAACCTTATGATTTATAGCCATGTATCATGTTTATACATATGATTGTAGTATTTGTCTATGTTGGTGCTATACTGATGAATAATGGAAAGTAATTCAGCTACTTTAAACTGAATCGTTTAAATTAGTTCAGCGATGACATTCTGTCTTCATGTTATCCCTTCTGAGGTCTAGCCTGAGATTTTCTTACTAATCTCAAGGATTTTTTTGTTTGTTCCTTGCAACAGATGTTCATACTTTGACAGTTCTATTGTATATAATTATGTATAAACCATATTATGTTTTTCATTCCTTATTTGAAAGTAATCTAGATGATTTTTGTGTGTGTGGCTGTGAGTGGGTATGTCAAGGCATTTTGGAATCCTTGACTTGGTGTAATATGGAAAATCTGTTTCTAGTTGAAATTGAATACATATATCACAAGTCCTTTTGTTACTTTTAGAATGGAATGTATGAAATCTGATTGGGAAGATTAATGTAGGTTTTATTAATCTTTCTCAAATTGATAAAGTTCTGTCACCCTAAAGATTTATTCAAAGTTGTAATCTCAAAGTCATAAGCACCAAGTCTTTACCTTTGAAAAGTATTGGAAGCTTTAGTTTCCTAGCCACTATGGATTATGCCAATACTTTTAGGTATTACCTTTATGCCAAATTACAGGACAACAATTTTCTTTTTAGAAACATTATTTTCTAGACTATAATTTTTTGGCTAACACTTATAGCTCTTAGATTGCCACATCTTGAATATTATAACACAAATTATCAGAAGCAAATATACATACAGTAATATTTTTAATAATGTTTTTCATAAATCATATCTAAATTCCCATTTTGTGCATTCTTCAAATGGCTATAAAAATTTTGCATACTAGCTCTTAAAGCAATAATATTAGGTTCTAACTATTTTATGTGATAATGAAATAGGCTCGATTTTATTTTAGTAGTTTGGTCCTGTAAGATTAATCAAATTTATTACATGATATGGATGTGAAGTAAGCAAGGCACTGGTATTTTTGTGGCTCATTATTCTGATATTAAAGGGAAGGGAAGAAGGTAGGTAACAAGTGGCATTTAAAATAAATGTATTTTCATAATAAATGATGATTCTCATCTTATTCTGTTACACTGCAAGTATAAAACTCTTATTGTTGATAAGAAGTTCATAATAAGTAAATCACTTTAGACCTGGAGTTTGTGACTTAAAAAAAGCCTTTATTTCAAAAAGCAAAAATAAAATGAATAATGAATTATCTTATATATTTCTTCCACTAAACATATTTCAAATGAAATATAGTATGTAAGTTAAAAAGCCAAAAATACTTAACCCATAACTGTAAGATCTACATTATAGGTAACTACAAAATAAAAATACTCATTATCTATAATATATTTATAAAATGTTGTTTTCAACCAAATGTTAAATAGAATATTTAATATAGTAAAAATTATTTCCCTTTTTAGAGGTTTTTCATCTTTATAAATGTATTTGACAGTAAATATAGTAAAAACTACAATGGAACTGAACTTCTAGCAAATTTTGAAAGCTCTTCAGTATCATCGTGAAATAATTATTCCTCAGATGAGATTTTGTTAAACTCATTACTCTTCTTCTGTAATTTAAAATTTCCCAAATAAAATTACTCTTCCATATAGTGGTGAATGAGAGGGTGGGAAAATATTCCTGATCCCCGCAAGAGAAAAATGTGCAGTTTGGAAAATGTATAAAATAAAAGTGTTCCAACACAGCAGATGATTTATGTTGTTTATATGATGAATTGCATGAAGGGCTAAGGAGAAATAATTTTAGATTAAAAAAAATTTGTTTGATACCTCTTAGACATAGGAAGACCCGCCAACCTGTGATATTTTGTAAGTTACGAACAACTTCTATAAATATTAGGGGGCAGTAAATAAGAGTTTGATTTATTTCCATCTATATGAAATGTCTTTGATGATTTTGTGCTCTCAACTTTCTGTCAGTTTTAGTGCTCTGGGAAAGAAACCCAATGTATTATTACTTCAATAATAGCATGATTACAGGCATACAATACCTCCAATTAAATAATTAATTAGAAAATGAGAAATATGTATGTGTGTGTAAACAGATTTGGTGTGTATCTTTATGTGTATAGAATTTTTAAACAATAATTTGGATTTTTTTTGTTCAACCTGATTGTACTTTCATCTCTACATTCATTAATTCTGATTCTTTTCATAAGTGAAATGCTCCTTAACCTGGATCTCAAGTCACATGTGAATATGAAAGTAGAAAATGGGAGAGAAAAATACTCATGACATTAATGGCATGGAGAAAAGGTACTGAACATACACAGTCACGTCAACCTTCTCTTTTTAAGACTAAGCCAGAACTTGCGGAGTTTGTATGATCAGTTTTATGCTCATAGGATACTTTCTCTAAAATTTTGGACAAAGTTAAAAATAAGCACCAAAATAGGTGTAAAAATAAAATTAATAAAATTTTGGACAAGGAAACTAATTTTAGTGAATAGTGGGAGTCGTTACTATTTAATCTAATTCCCTAAGACTGTAACTTAATAATATTTCACTATTCTAGCTTCAGTGAAAATAGAATAGATAAATACAAGTGTATTTAAAAATGTAACCCTATTAAGAGATGATACAATATGGTAAAAGAACACTGGACTAGAAGTCAGGAAACCAGAATTTCACAGTCTCTGTGTGACAGTTAGAAAATTAATTTAGGCTTGAGCTTTCCTATATATTAAATGGAGATATTATACATGATGGACTATTATTCTTTTTCTATACTAAATTTGATTAGTCTATTTATATGAGTATTACATAGAATTGTGCAAGGTTTTGTGGATACATTGATGAACAAGAAACACAAGTACTGTCCCTGTTACCTCCTTGAATCATCGTAGTTTCAAATATAGAAATAAATAGTTACACAGTTAATTATGATATTTCACCCTTACTTCTAGATTTAATGTCTTTCTTACTGGAATATATCCTTTAGCCATTATCCCAGTTAGAATGCCTTCCCCTTCAAGTAAAAGACAAACCTAACACAAAGATTATTAAACAGTAAAAACAAAAAACCCAAAAACATAATCTTGTCTAACAAGAAGAGGTAGGGAATCCCCAAGTTGGTTAGTTACAAGAAACAATGACCTCTTTTCTTTTCTTTCTTTCTTTTATTTTTTTTAAACGGAGTCTCACACACTCTGTTGCCCAGGCTGGAGTGCAGTGGCGCGATCTCAGCTCACTGCAACCTCCACCTCCTGGGTTCAAGCCATTCTCCTGCCTCAGCCTCCTGAGTATCTGACATTATGGTCGTGCATCAACACTGCTGGCTAATTTTGTATTTTTATTTTTAGTAGGGAGGGGGTTTCACCATGTTGTCCAGGCTGGTCTTGAACGTCTGACCTCAAGTGATCTGCCCACCTCGGCCTCCGAAACTGTCAAGAGTACAGGTGTGAGCCACCCTGCCCGGCCACCAGTGTTTTTTACAGCTGACTCTCCTCTCTTTTGTGGGATACACCAATCATTCCAGGCAATATATCAAGACAAAACAACATCCAAAGGAAAATAGCTATAATTTTTCTGTGTTTTTTTTCTTTTTTGCCAGGGAGGAAATGTTTTCCTGAAGCCCTCCTACCTCACTCTTTGTCTTATTTATCTGAGTCATAGGAGAACCAGCCTTTAAACAAATTAAGAAGTTTTGTTTTTGAAAGAAGCAGGAAGGAGGTATAAAATGAATAGTGGGTAGGCAGCCAACAATGTCTGCACATAATATTTTTTTCCTTTCAGAAATGTTATCAATTGGTTTCCAAGTTTCTGGGTTTTTTTTTTTTCATCTTTATAATGTCCTTTTCTCTGCTGAGACTTGCCATTTGTTTTTTTGTTATTACCATTTTTAATAGACCTTGAACATATTTATAATGCTGATTAAAATTCTTGTCAGCTAATTTCAATATATGGGTCATCTCATTTTTAGTGTCTGTCTGTAAATTGTTTTTCTGCTTCTTTGCATGCCTACTTATTGGAATATTTGACACACATGAATGGATGACATGTTTTTCAGAGTCTGTATTTTATTGTCTTCCTTTAGAGAAAGTATAGAATTATTCCAGCAGGTAGTTAATTTACTAGTAGGATCAAGTGAATTTTTGAGCCTTTTTAAAGTTTGGAACTCTATGTCTATCAGCACTACGAGTCTCCTTTGTCTGTGGCAGATCTTCTCCTTTATCTGCATAGGCGTAAAAATTGCTGCAGCCTCTGTTTTTAGAAACCTCATGCAAGTTCAATACCCTGACACTACCACAGTGGCAATTTGTATAATTATTTCTATTTTGCTTTCTTTCATATGGCACCTGGAAGTTCATCTGGCTTTTCCTTTTGTACTGTAATATGTTTTAAAATAAATGTGGTTGTAAGTTATTTAGCATTTCTTTGTATTTGGAACATGAGGTGGAGTGTAGATCAGCTCATTCAAATGTGTTCTTAGAGGTCCCCTCAAATTAGTTTTTTAAAATGCATCTGTGATAAGCATTAAAAATGAAGTCTTACCATATAAAAGAGGTACCTGTGTATTTTTTAAGAGTGGGGTACTAGCTGCAGAGGTTTCTCTGGCGACCTGATGTTTGTTTGTTTGTTTTAGTTATACTTTAAGTTCTAGGGTACATGTGCACAACGTGCAGGTTTGTTACATATGTATACATGTGCCATGTTGGTGTGCTGCACCCATTAACTCCTTATTTACATTAGGTATATCTCCTAATACTATCCCTTCCCCTGCCCCAACCCCTCGACAGGCCCCGGTGCGTGATGTTCCCTTTCCTGTGTCCAAGTGTTCTCATTATTCAATTCCCACCTATGAGTGAGAACATGCGGTGTTTGTTTTTTTGTCCTTGCGATAGTTTGCTGAAAATGATGGTTTCCAGCTTCATCCATGTCACTACAAAGGACATGAACTGTCCTTTGTATGGCTGCATAGTATTCCATGGTGTATATGTGCCACATTTTCTTAATCCAGTCTATCGTTGATGGACATTTGGGTTGGTTCCAAGTCTTTGCTATTGTGAATAGTGCCACAATAAACATACGTGTGCATGTGTCTTTATAGCAGCATGATTTATAATCCTTTGGGTATATACCCAGTAATGGGATGGCTGGGTCAAATGGTATTTCTAGTTCTAGATCCTTGAGGAATTGCCACACTGTCTTCCACAATGGTTGAACTAGTTTACAGTCCCACCAACAGTGTAAAAGTGTCCCTATTTCTCCACATCCTCTCCAGCACCTGTTGTTTCCTGACTTTTTAATGATCACCATTCTAACTGGTGTGAGATGGTATTTTGCTGATGTTTTATAAGGGAAGATCTGAAGATGGGTAAAGGATTTTTTTTTTTTTTTTTTTTTTGAGACGGAGCCTCCCTCTTTCGCCCAGGCCAGAGTGCAGTGGCGCAATCTCGGCTTACTGCAAGCTTCGCCCCCCAGGTTCACGCCATTCTCCTGCCTCAGCCTCCAGAGTAGCTGGGACTACAGGCACCCGCCACCACTCCCGGCTAATTATTTTTTTTTTGTATTTTTAGTAGAGACAGGGTTTCAGCGTGTTAACCTGGATGGTCTCGATCTCCTGACCTCATGATCCCCCAACCTCGGCCTCCCAAAGTGCTGGGATTACAGGCGTGAGCCACTGTGCCCGGCCAGGATGGCAGGATTTTTTTTTTATGGAGATAGAACATCATATGCAAAGGCCCTGAGGCAGGATGGAACTTGGCACATTTCAGCGCCTGAATGAAGGCCAATGTGTTTGGAACTCAAAGAGCAAAGAGGCAGCTGTTAAGAGATGAGGTTTTGTGAGAGAGACAGTTTCTAGACCATGAAACAACCTTGTTGGCTATGTTAAGATATTTGAATTCTATCTTGCTTTTCCCCATATCACAGGTAGTGGTGAAATAACTTGTCACATGTAGATTTTTATCTAAATGTAAATTTTATCTAAATGTACTGTTAAGTTCTTATAACCACTACACTTACTATAGAGGGAAATGCTGATTGCATCTCTTCTGGAAATACGATGAAACATTCAGTTACAGAATAATTTGAGATACAAGTGTTTTCCTAAAATAACACTCTCAGACAGACAATATATTTGGAAAGGAAAAATGAAAAATATAAGTTATTCATAATCAACAGCCTTTTTGTAGGTAGGTCCTTAAACAGATAGTTTCTGTTAGGTTCTGGGAATGCTAGTTCATTAATATAGATTTATGTCATTGTGCTGGTCTTAGAATTATTCAAGCTAGGATTAAACTCACCGTAAATAACCTGAACCTTTTTAAAATGAAGTTGAAACAACAGTAAGTATCCTAAGCTAAGGTTTTTAAAAGTTATTATTTTCTGCAGCTCTACTTAATGAAGCTTTGGAAGGCAGTTGTGTGCATATGCTTATTTATTATGCCAGGTAAATAGGGGTTACTTACTTTTCTGTTCTTTGGAAATTTGGTTCAGAAATCACAGTTACATTATAAAGTGTAAATCATTGAGATGCTTTTGGCCATAGACATTCCCTATAATGAAAGATGTCATTGCACTAAATAAGGAAAGGTTCCTATGACAGATAATGGGATCAATGCTATGCAACTGACATGATCTTGTATTTTGATAGTCATTTGGGCCATTTTATTAAGAAGTTTTCAAATGATTTGAAGAGCACTTGTGGGCAGAGGAAATTCTAACTACCCAATGATACTACTTAGTTATAGCTAAGTGAGAAAAAAAATCATAAAAATATTCTTACTTTCTCTCTCAGGTAAGGAAAACCTTTCAGTTTCCCTGTAGTTTGTGTCAAGATATATGTTTTCCCATTAAACTTGTCTGCCATACTGACGAGAGAATTACAGCAGAACTTTTGAACTAGTTTGATAAGAAATTCCTTTCACACAAAGGATCCCAGGGAGAAAAGTGCAAAGCCAGTTCACCATCGTAGTTTAACTTAAATGTGTTAAGTATCAGTTGAAAGTCTCAAATCCTCTACTCATTCGAAAATCCACTTAATATAACATTTATGGGATTTGCTATTAATCTTATCCAAAACCTGTGTTATTTTGGTACTTATGGACTTAGAAAAGTCTGTATGTCTCAAACTTTAAATGTTACTAAATCTTAAATTATAAAAACTTGGTTAGCACTCATAAGCAACGAGGCATGTGTAAATATTACTAACAATTTCACTGAAGATTCATGAAGTTGACACAGAGAGGATGAACTGTATATAAATGTGTTCAGCGGAGATTACATTGTCTTTGTTTTTTGTTTGGAGTAGTTATGGTGATTAATGAACCACTGTATCCAGCTTCAGTATCATACTCTTTCTTTTTTTGCCAAGTTAAAGGACTATCTTTGGTGATATAAAGCACATTTGTTCAATTTCTTGAAACTATAATAATTCAGAGTTGGCAGACAGAGTTATATATCCCCAAGTGAACGAATTGTATTATCCAGTGAACCCTGCTAAATGCAAGAACAGAAGAGCACCTGAATCTTTTTCTCCCCTCACCAGCCTTAATATGTTGTCTGTGCTAGAGGAAAATATGGCTTCGTATTAGAGATTTTTCTTCATTTTCTTGTCAACCACAAGGATAATTTTAGGTGAATTTACCCAGAGACACTTGGGTATTTTTCTGCCCAATAATGGCTATTGATCAAAACATTAATATTCAATACATTGAACAACTGTAAACCATGGGCACCAACCAATCAGAAAGACAATGGCAATCAGCATAAAACAGGATGGCTGTGCCGGCCTTTGCAGCTGAGTGGCAACCCCATTTAACAGATCTTTCACTAACTGTTTCAACCTAATTAAGAATGGTTTTGATTACCATAGCCTTGTAGCAGATCTATTTTTTCATGTAGAGATAAAATGTTTTGAGATAAATTGATTTGTTTCTCATATGTGAAAGAATATTAGTTTTTTTTGGTATCAACTACTAAAAAGTTAATAATTGTGGTGAACCTCTTAAAGTCAGTGACAGAATCCTATTAATCTCTGCAACTTCAGCCATCACTGCTCTGCTGGACACAATGTGGATGTTTTCAATAATTTTGGAAAAAAATGCCATCATCTTTTCCTTTTGGGATTAAAAATATATTCAAATTATTGAAGTATGAAAAAATGACTAATTTTATTTTCAAAATGCATTTCTGTACATGGCTCATCTTAGCTATTTGAAAATGGCAAAGATATTCAAATTTGTGAATGTTAAATTATAATCTCCAGAGCCTCAGTAAATTCCCTGAAATACAGTGTTAGAACTTCACACGAATATGATTCCTGAAAGTTGTGTCAGTCCTCATGGGTGTTTAGATCCATGACTGACCAAATAATTTTAAAGAGCCAGCACGCTAACTAACAGGAATTATAGAAATATAATTTAAATTTTATTGTAATTGTGGCAGGAAACTTAGAGCCATGGACAGGAGCCCCGCAATTCATAACAATTCACAATACAGAAAAATTTTTCTGTATGAGTTGTATGCGTCGATGATTACAACAAATTGTGTTTTATTTATTCACCCATTATTGTATTTATCTATTCAATTTCAATTATACAACTATTTACTGAGTCAGCCTAATATATGCCAAATAGCAGGCAAGTTCACAACTTAAAAATGATACACTTCAAAAATTCGATTATAACTAAAGTACTACTCTAATTTAATATATACCTACCGTGACTTCTAATTTTTATACTTGATTTTATTCTTATTGGTCTTAGAGAAAATAGCCATAGAAAGCATTAACACTAAACGGAAGGCTTTAAGAATGACTGTATAGTTCGTTGCAATTAGACATAATATAATTAAATTGAATCAATCGTATCAGATAAAATATACACTTTAAAGTGAAAATGTTAATGATTCTTAGTATAACTGTAAGTATACTGTTTTGTTCATTTGCATGCTTGTTTTCCACACAAAATGCAGCACTGTTGTGGTTTAGAGCTAAGTATGTATTGCCAGCATTCAAACCTCAGCAATGTCTTTTGTTAGCTGTGTGACCATCAGCAAGTTACTTAACCTCTCTTGACTCAAATCACCCCACTGGGAAATGGATATTATAATAGTACTAACCTTAAAGAATTGTTGTGAGAATTAAATGATTTAACACCTATAAGGACATTACATGACTGCCTGAGGTTCAATAAGAACTATATAAATATTAGCTATTATTATATGCATGCACATTATGTAGTTAGTAGGGGGCAAAATCCTAGGTTATTTCATTTTACATCCATTTCTCACTAACTCTTTAACTCCAAGAAAAGTTACTTATCTGTACTTTATTTCATCTACCTCTTGAAGTTGTTCAAAGTTTGAATGAATTAACACACATGGAGTGGTTAGCACAGTACTTGGCCAATAGTCAACCCTCAAAAAATGTTAGCCATAATTTTTTATTCCTTATTTCATTATAGATATAAAATGGAGGTAGTAATTATTATCTTATCCCTTCACAGGACAATTGAACCACTGAACATATCTGTGAAGATAAGTAAACAGTTGAATATTATTCAAAAATGTGTTTACTAATTATCTAGTAATTTATAAATTCAGTTATTCTGTTTGTGAATAATGAGATGTGAATAAAATTAATTAAAATATATTTTCTTATCTGTATTATTGCCTGACCTTGGTGGCAAGCGCCAGAGCATCTGTTTGTTTTTTCTCTATTTAGGTTGCTAAAGTATCTTGTCATATAATTCAGAAAATTATATGATATAAAAATATATTATGTAAGAAAATAATATAATTCAGAAATATATGTATAGTATTGAAATTAAGCAGAAGCCCTAAACTGTTTTTATAAATATTCTGAAGTATGTTACAATATTAATTATCATTATTGGATAGGTCTTTTGGTTTTAAAAATGGAAACAATTTTTTTAATGGAAAGATTATATCCTAAAACAGTAATTTTCATTGAATCTTACCACTAAATGTATATTTGAACCATTTCATAATTTCTACTGGAATGTGTGAAAATTTTAAAAAACTACTATCATGAGGATGGAAGCAGTGGTGCACGCCTGTAATCCCAGCACTTTGAGAGGCCAAGGCAGGCGGATCACGAGGTCAGGAGATTGAGACCATCCTGGCTAACATAGTGAAACCCCATCTCTACTAAGAATACAAGATCACGCCACTGCACTCCAGCCTGGGGGACAGAGTGAGACTCCATCTCAAAAAATAAATAAATAAATAAACTAATATCATGAAATGAGGACACAAGAAATACTTTCTAGGATACTAGAAACATTGATTAACAACTTGGGAAATACTGCTCTAAGCATGCTGCACTGTAATTTTTGTTCTTTTTTTTTTTCTTGTTAGGAATCTTTCCCTGAAATTAACAAAGGACGTTGATCAAGAAGCCAGGTGTTCCCACATCAGCCGAATGCCCAACAGTCCATCTGCGGATTGGCCTCTACAAGGTGTGGAAGAAAACGGAGGCATAGATTCTCTGCCATTCAGACTGATGTTACAGGACTGCACGGCAGTCAAGACGTTATTATTAAAGATGAAGAGAGTTCTTCAAGAGGTAATGGTTTCCTCTAAGATTAATGTCCTTCAGTGCTGGTAGACAATGAAGTCTGCAGACGTGGTTAGACCCTGCTCTGTCAGTAATTAACTACATGACATTGGGCAGGGGTCAGGTTTCCTCTTGGAGCTTAGCTATTTTCATATGTCAAATGAGTGTTTTGAAGTTCTGGTTTATAAGGTACTCTTTAGCCTTAAAATTGTAAGAGTTTACGAAATACTTAAAAAAGAATAAATTGATCCCAAGCATCCCCCTATTTGTCAGGTAAGGAGAAATGAGTATCAGCTATATAGTTATGGTTACATGCTATTATAAAGCTATTGAGAAATCTATTAAATGTATTTCACATCAATGATACTGGGTCTTTGTTTATATGATACCATAAAAGTAGTTTATTTAGTCATTTTTGTTCCAATAATCAGAATTCAGTAAAATTGAATTACAGTAAAATTCAATCTGAAGGTCTGAATGATTTTGCCTAAGGAATGTAGTTGCCCTCCCCACAGCTTGGGCCTAGTTACTGAAACAGTGAGCTAGTCAGGAAAATGCATAATGAGATTCTTTTACCCTTGTGCCCAGAAATCAGCCATTCTTTAGGACTCAAGTTTGCTTTGGTTTGATTTTTATAATTACAACAGTTGTTTTATTTGAGGGATTTCTATACAAAGTATACCCGTGATTATTATTACTTCATAGACATGTGAAGTGAGAGTTAGAAATTTTAAATTATTTTTCTCAAGTAAGTGTAATTTCAGGGCAACAGCCTGAAATTTGTGTCTTTGTATTACATCCTATTATATTTAAGTAGATTTATCTTTATTGATTGGAGATATTAATAAAGAATTGAGAAAAATATTATTATTTAGAATTAATGGTCCCTATGTTATAATGATTGCTAATATTTGCTTTTTGAACACTTTGATAATAATGCTAGCAGCTACCACTGGAGGCTAGAATTGAATCAGGAAGAAAAAAGGCAGTATAAAAGAAATGAATGCCATAGACTATTGGGGCTTCCAGTAATGTGTTCTCATCAGCTGTTATAAACTGTATTAGTCTGTTCTTACACTGCTAATAAAGACATACCTGAGGCTAGGTAATTTATAAAGGAAAGAGATTTAGTTGACTCACAGTTCCATATGGCTGGGGAGGCCTGACAATCACAGCAGAAGGCGATGAAGGAGCAAAGTCACGTCTTACACGGCGGCAGGCAAGAGAGCTTGTGCAGGGAAACTCTTATTTATGAAACCATCAGATCTCATGAGACTTATTCACTACCATGAGAACTGTATGTGGGGAACTGCCCCCATGATTCAGTTATCTCCACCTGCCTCCCCCACCCTTGACACATAGGGATTATTATGATTAAAGCTGAGATTTGGGTGGGGACACAGCCAAACCATATCATAAACAAAAGCTGGAAGATACCTTCTCTGTGTCCCATACAGGTTATATCTCTAGGGCAGCCTTTGTTTCTGGATATTCTGGATCCTATAATGTGTTGTGCTGTAGCGGTATGCTTATACTTGATTACTCTTAGAATTTCAGAAATTATATGAGCTGGCAGTTCAGCAAAGGCATCAAAATAAATTATATGAACTTAAATCAATTACTTTCAAAAAGGGTAATCAGTATTCAAAATGTGTTTTCTATTTGTTTTACTATTATCTACACTTGTGAGATTATTTACATCTTTTAGAATCACATGGTGGAAGTACTATATAATTCTGACTGTACAGATTTCCAACATGTAGATTCATTTATGTCATTTTGGTAGCTTGAAATCAGCCATGTGGGAGTATTTATGCCTCAGAAATTGGCAAACACTGCAAATTAGGGCCTCTTATTTTTGGCAAGCCTGTTGTTAAATATTGACTAGCACATTACTATGTGTATAACTGTATGATTCTATACTGACAACATAAATATTTGCCTGCAAATGAATAGATAAGTTTGAATTTCTTCCACCTTTGGCTTAACATGCAACCTGATCCTCTTTGAACAAGACAAACTTAGTAACAGCTGTTATATTAGAAGATACTAGTCTCAACTATTCAGCTTTTTACCTCTGTTTGGTCTGAATTTTAATAACAAATCAGTTAAAGCAAAAGATAAGTAGAAAGAGCTGACAGAAGGTGTCAAGAGGCTTTCTTAGAGTACTTAATTTTATAATTTTAAAATATTCAGTGATATTCACTATAAAGTCAATATTCAGAATATATTTAGATGGTTTCTATACTGCCACCTGGTTTTCTTTATTAAGGGGTATTCGAAGAAGCTGAAGAGAATTGATTTTTTAAAGCTGATGTAGAGTGAACAATACTTAATATATGTTTGTGCAGCCCATTCAGTGAGCAGAGGGTCTTTATTATCAACAGGGAAAAGCAATAGTATTATATGATTAGCATAGACAACAGTTCTACTAAGAAGATATTCATAATAGAGGCCTCTAAAGAAAATTGTTTTTTGAAATGTTCCCTAAGCCAGGAAGTTTTAAACTTCCATTCCCATTTCATTACTAAATTGGAGTTTAATATCAATATTCATTTAGATTAACAATATATTTTAATATAAAAAATTCATTCCTATTTTGAGCTGATTTTTATGATGCACAATCGTTCAATCTTTGTTCACAGATTATTATTATTATTATTATTATTATTATTATTATTATTATTTGAGATGGAGTCTCGCTCTGTCACCCAGGCTGGAGTGCAGTGGCGCGATCTCAGCTCACTGCAAGCTCCGCCTCCCGGGTTCACGCCATTCTCCTGCCTCAGCCTCCCGAGTAGCTGGGACAACAGGCACCTGCCACCATGCCCGGCTAATTTTATGTATTTTTAGTAGAGACGGGGTTTCACTGCGTTGGCCAGGATGGTCTTGATCTCATGACCTCGTGATCCGCCCGCCTAGGCCTCCCAAAGTGCTGGGACTACAGGCATGAGCCGCCGCACCTGGCCAAGTTCACAGATTATTTTTTAATGGCAGGAGGTACCTATTTGATTTTAAGGTAAAATAATTACTTAATTTTTACATGTCATATTAGAATATGCTTTTATTTGAGATTTTTGGTTTGTTACATGAGTATTGCATTTGTATATTTTTTCTCATTGATCTCTTTGAAACCTATGACTTAGTGGAAATGCAATGCATTCATGATATTTTTACACTTTTGCTAATAAAGGTACACCTTTCTTGTGAGCAAATCAAGTTATCCTTTGTTGTTTTTGAGGGAACATCTTCTACAAATAGCATTTGAAAATATCCAGAGATAGTAATAGTGAGATCACAGAAAATTTTTGGCTTAATCTGTTTAAGATTGCTCTAGGGTTGTGGTTAATGACTAGCGGCTAGAAGGATGCCTCGACAGAGTGTTAATAGATGACTTTCCTAAAGTTTCTAGAACTGTTTCAGGGTTGTGGAGTAATAAAAATAATTCCTTGGAAAGTTCTACACAGCAGGCTAAATAAATATACAGGTCGAGCATCCCTAATCTGAAAATCCAAAATCCAAAATGCTCCAAAATTTAAAGCTTTTTGAGCACTGACGTGACACCACAAGTGGAAAATTCCACATATAAGTACTTTAAACCACTTGTTTTATACATAAAATTATTAAAAATATTGTATAAAATTACCTTTGGGCTATGTCTATAAAGTATATATGAAACATAAATGACTTTCATGTTTAGAGTTGGGTCCCGTTCCCAAGACATCTCATAAGGTATATGCAAATATTCTAAAGTCTGAAAAAATTCAAAAAACACTTCTGGTCCCAAGCCTTTTAGAGAAGGGGTACTCGACCTGTACTCTATCTTTCAAGTACTCTTATCTATATAGTCCATATTACTTATGGCATTTTAATGAATATAAGCATTAACGCTGAGATCTACTTGTAATATTTTAAAGCTACCTATAAAATTTACTTCTTTCTAAATTTTTTTGTGAGGTATCACATGTTTAATATTATTTTGCAATTTTTATTACTGGCTAAACAACCTTAGATTGCTATTAAAATGTTAAATCCCATTAGCTCATTCCAGATTTTTTTAAAAGTTATTTTGTCATTAACTGTAATTGCATTACTTATTATTCTACCTACTTTGGGTTTAATAAAAATTTTCATCAAGTAATTCATTTGGCACTTAGTAATTCTTCCATTTTGTGCCATCACCATAACAACATAAATCATATTAATCTAATCCAGGTTTGGGGATTATATATGTTATGCTATTTTATAATATATAATATATACTTTCAATAAAATATAATTTTGAAAGTGAATACACCTGCAAAAGTGAATCTAACATTGTGTTTGTATCTGAATCATCTTGGGTAGGAACCAGAGATGGAGATGAGTAATGGGTAGGCATTGCTCTAAATATTCTGCTTCAGTAAACCTGTCTTTGGCCCAAGCATGTGAATGGTGAGGACTTTCTCAGTGTCTCTTCCAAGTATACTGGAAAAGCACTGGGTTAGGATATTGTGTTTTAGACTGTTGGTATTAAACATCCTGAAACCTTCCTCTACTTAGGAGATTCTTGCTCCTGAATACTTTTCAGATCTGCTTATATGCATCTCTTCTTCCAACTGCTCCTACATCAATGATGGTCCATTTTACTGAAGTTACTTCACAACTGGTCTTACTTCTAGTCTTCCCACCTATCAAATCAATTTACTCATTGCTGTCAGGCTAAAATGATTATGTGATCAAGTCAGTCCCTGTATATCTTTAAATGTTTCCTAATTGCCCTTACAAGTTCTTCTACAGGTTGTATAACAGTCTATATTTCCTCTATCATTGGAGCACTTATGTCTCCTCATTTTAATTGCTAATCTTCCTTTTCCCAGTGATATTCTAAGATGCAGGAAAATGATCTTGTGAACTTGTACCTTGTTATATCTTCTCAACCTGGAAGGTATTTGCTGCTTAATAAGTGTTTATTAATAAATAAATGAAAGGAAATGGATTTCATTCTGTTTCCAGGCTACCATTAAAATAACTGTTGGCAGAAAACAAATGATAAACTTGAGTGCTTGATGGAATGAGGATCAAAGTAAGTATGTAGTAAATTTCTCCTCTTTAAAAGAAGTGTACAATATGTTTTTTTCTCAGAATATGAAATAAAGACACATCACAAAAATTACTAGATTTAATTTAATCAAGACCCATTTGTATGCCCAAGTCTATCAATGGTAGATATAATTTCCTGAAGCTTTTTCAGATCTTTCTATGCAGTAGATGGCTATGGTATTCCTTAACTGTATTTTTAAAATTATCTGCTAAATCTTCCAGATTAGAAGAAAGGCCTAGAGGTTTAGAGACTGGTTATTTCCATATGTACTCACTCTTTTCACACAGAGAAAATTTTGTTTTCACTGAACATCATTGCAATTTCAGAGGAAAAGGATAACTATAAATCATTATAAAACCACAAATCAGTTAATCTAATAAACATAAAATTATTGGTATAAAGCCATTATTACTTCTTATTTGTTTGGCTGAGCTTACCGTTTTCCTAGTGATGGTCTGTCGACCTCCTAGATTTTAATTTTGAGGTGAGCTAAGAATTAATAATCTGAATGGAGTATCACACTCCAAATTCTGTCATCCTTTTTTAAAGATCAGTTTCTTTTTATTAAAATGCACATTCATATTCCCAGCAACTTCAAATTTCAACTCCTTTATTTTTAGAAAAATGACCGATGTTGGGCCTTTAGAAATTCTATTGTTGTCACTTTATTCTCTAGTATTAGTGGGAAAAGACATGACTGTAGTAAGGGAAGAGAACTCTATCATTTTTTTCTTCTTTTTCTTAAATTTTTAAAAAATTTTATGATCTATAAAAGAAAATGTTTAATATCTACAGAGGTGGGTTTTGTTTTAATGCTTCCTTTTAGTTTGCTCTATTCTCTTTATCAAACAAATATATTTTGATATAATAAGCTGTATCTATTCTAACAAAATAGCCAGATAAGTAAAAATCAAGGAACTACTTATTTGAAAATTTATATAATTTACAGGCCCATATAGTTGATGCAAATATTGGGGCTGTGAAACATTTGCAAAAGACCCGCCATTGATTAAAGAGCTGGAATCTATTTTTCTTTTTCTTTTCTCTACTACCTAATAGTTCAAACATTAATTTCATTTTACCTAAAAGGAATAATAATTTAAGACTTTCAAGGATAATATTCAATGCAAAATTTTTGGTTTTTTTTCAGCGTAATTTGCAATTACATTATAAAATTTACAGTGTTTTCTACTTCATCATTTGTCACTGTTTGGTGGGAATTTTTAAAGAGTTTATTTTTACTGCATTTCAGTAATTGATTCAAAGGGCATTAATAAGGATTTTATAACTAAATGACATTTTCCTATCAGCACATCTTGAGATGGAAAGAAAAGTCTATAGGGTAGGAACTTCAGCAATGGATAATTAGAGAAGGAAATGGCCACAGTGGAGAGTCATAAAGTAAAGAAATATCCAAATCAAGCAATTACCATGGAAATATAGACAGCAGTCTAATAATCAGAATTCTCTTTATACTTATCATTTGAAAATAACAAAATTACAAGTTTTTGCTACCTTCTTTATGTTTATTTATTTATTTTTGCTGGTCCAGAAATATGTTTAAGGAAAATTAGAAAAACAAGTTTCATGAAAACATCAAATGGCAGAAAGTTAGAGTGACTATACTAGTATCAGAGTAGATCTAAATATATGACATTTCACCACAGTCAGAAAGCCATACTTCATAATGGTAAAAGTCAGTTCTTTAGGAAGACACAGCAATCAAACATGTGGATGGCTTGTTTCACCAATACACAATGCAAAAACTGACAGAACTAAGTGAAGAAATAAACAAATTAACAATCACAGTTGAAGAATTTAAAACATTTCTTTCTGTAATTGATAAAGCAACTAAATGAAAAAATCAGAAAATTTCTAGAAGACTTGAACAATATTATCAATATTTTTAACCCAATTGACATTTATAGAATACTACAATTAATAAAATAATTATATATTATTTTCAAATGCGAGTGGAACATCGTCAAGACACACTATATACTGGGTCACACAATAAGTCCCATTAAATTTAAAAGGTAGACATCTATGGGGTACATTTTTTGAGAAAAATGGAATGAAACTAGGAATCAAAAATAATAAAATAACTATAAAAGCATCAAATATTTGGAAATTAAATTACAAACTTCTATATAACCCACAGACGAATTTAGAAAGCTGAAAGGAAATTTTTAAATGTTTCCAATGAGATGATGATAATAATATCACAAATCAAAATTTTCTGGATATAGTTAAAACTATAATTACAGGGAAATTTGTGACTTTAAATGTTTATATTCAAATAAAGAGTGCGATAATTCGTAACCTTTAACTTTCTTCCTTGAAATGTTGGTTAATGGATACAAAAAAACAGTTGAATAGAAAAAAGTTCTAGTATTAAATAGTACAATTGGGAAATTATAGTTTATAATAATTTGTTATATTTCAAAATAGCTAGAAGATTTGTAATGTTCCCAACACAAAGAAAAGATACATGTTTGAGGTGATGTATATAGCAATTACCCTGATTTAATCACTCCACATTGTATACACACATTCAGAGATCACATGCACCCAAAAATATGTGCAACTATGAAATATCAATAAAAAAGGTAGCTAATAAAAGAAGGGCAAATTAAATCCAAACGAAGCATGTAGAAAGACATAATAAAGAACAAAACTCTATAAAATTAAAAACAAATAATAAGCCCAAATTGATTCTTTGAAAAAGTTCAAAAAAAGGCTGATAAAAAAAGATTATAGAAAAATTAAGAAACATAAATACTAGTGCCAGCAATGAATCTAGGGAGGAATAATCACTACAAATCCTGCAGACATCAACATGATAATAAGACATGGTTACAAAGAACATTATGGCAAAAAATTAACATAAATGACAAAAACAATTTTTTTGAAAAATACAGCTTTCCAAAGTGACATAAGAAATTGCAAATCTGAATAGCCTAACTTGTACTAAATTAATGTATTTTATTATTTAAAAAAGAAATACATATGACAGATATTATGTAAAAATTTTCAGGAAATAGAGACACATTATGCTTCTCATCTTGTTTTATGTGGCCAACATATGCCTATTAAAAAAAATTGGCAAAAATCCTTATAGGAAAAAGGAAATTACAGAATTTTTTTATAAATATAGATGCAAAAGTCACTTAAAAATTAGTAAATACGTGTAGCAATATGTAAATAATGACCTATTTGCTTTCATTCCAGTTTTTTTAGCATCCAAAAACCAAGCAATACAATTTACTATATTAAAATATTAAAAAGAGAAAAGCACAAGACTGTATTAATAGATGAAAAAAGTACCTTTGAAAAATTGAAAACCAATTTATGGCTCAAATAAAAATATAAACCTCAGTTTACTGGTAGTACAAGGGAACTTCTATAGCTAATATTCATACTTGATGGTAAAACACTGAAACTTCTCCTCCTAATATTATCAGCAAGGTAAGAATATCCACTCACCACGTTTGCTGTACGTGTGCTAGAGGTCCTAGCTAGGAATGAGGCAAGAAAAAGTGTAACAGGCATAAATATTTGAAAGAAAAGGTAAAACTGCATGTATGAGCAGATATGTTTGTTTATACAGATAACCTAAGAAATCTACAAAAAAGTTAATAATAAAATGACAGAATTAGCAGTAAATTTAATAGCATTGAAGAATATAAAGTTGTCATAAAATTATATATTGCTGTGTAGCAAATCAGCTGTAAAATCTAGTAGACTAAATCAATATTTGTTATTTCAAAGTTTCTATGGTTAGGAGTTTGAGAGTAGTTACCTATGGGTTATGGCTGAAGGCGTCTCATTAGTTTGCACTCAGGATGTCAACAATGGCTGTAGTCATGAATTCTTGGCTAAACTTGAAGATCTACTGCCTAGTTCACTCACTTGCTGTGGCAGGAGGACTCAGTTCTTCACTGCTGGTGCTCAAGAGGCCTCAGTTCCTTACCATGTAGCCTTTTCGCTGGTCAACATGGCAGTTGGCTTCCCCCTGACTACACAATCTGAGAGAGAGAAGACAAAATGCACAATGTCTTTTGTAACCTAGTCTCAGAAGTAATATACCATCACTTTTGTCAAATTTATTGGTCACAAAGATCAAACTTGATTTAGCATGGAAGAACAATATGTAAAGTATGAATACCAGGAGGTAGGGAACATTGTGGTCCATTTTGGAGGCTGTCTACCAGTCAATGGTGTATTCCTCTCATATGCAAAGTACACTCAGCCCCTCCCAAGGCCATTCAAAGTATCATTCAATTACAGCATCAATTCAAAGTGCAGAATCTCAAAATCTAAAGTGTGTATAGCCGTAGATGAGGTTTAAACACAGCAACTCAAGTATAGTTTTCCATTTTAACCTGTAAACTAATACACATGTTAGTAGTTTTTTGGTTAGGATTCAAGGCCTACTAAAAATTCTTGCTCTTTGTTCTGCCCTCTATGTTCTTTGTTCTAACCTCTGGGCAATTCTTTCTTATAAAGGTAGCACATGTTTTGCAGCAGAATAGTTTCTTCATCCTTATTTGTAGTTGTAGACATTGGTATCCAAAGGCCCTTTTCATTTTACTCTTTGTCCCTTAAAGACCAAACTTGGAAAGTGTTTCTGTGAATATAACTCTCTTAAATTCCTTTTGGGGTTGCCTGTGAACCTTATTCGGGAATCACTTCCTTAGACAAAATACGTACCCACAAATCGCTTCAAGATAAGCCCTACTCTAACTTGAAATAGGTGCGGGATAACTCCTTTAAGCTTTTGAAATTTTAATTGTTTGACTGTGAAGTTCGATGGGCCATACCTTAAAACCTTAAACAAAAGGCATCTTCTGTGTGAGTGAACTAGGTACTCTGCAGCACCACATTTTATCTTTTAGGACAGCTCTACATTGATTAAATAAATTTTAAGATAATAATTTTTTTTAATCTCAAATCATGTGGTTGTTGCACAGGTTTCCATGTTTATCAAAACTCATCAAATTACACATTTTGGATGGCAACACATGAAATATCATTACACAACTGTTAAGTGCCAGTGTCAGTGCTCCCATTTGTGGAGTTTTTAGTTTTCCCTTGTGAGACCTGTAAAACAACAATGACCATTTATCATACAGACTAACTTAGTATTGTCAGTTCTTATAAATTATTACAAGTTATTTTCCCTCATTGTTAGAATAACATAGGTTAAAAAAATTTACAAGGTAACATAGTCTTCATATACACATATGGATCCCATTGTATACTCCCTGGAGAAACCTCTGGTTTAGATAATGACATCTCTTAGACTGATAGATTTTTAGTAACAGTATTCTGCCTACATAAATAAGGCCTGGTTATGCTGCTGTACAACTTGGTCTTGAAAATAGATGAGGAGAGGAGGAAAGTATAATTCCATGACTCTTGCTTTGTAAACAACCCTAATTTTCAACAGTCCTCTTGGAGAGATTAGAGAAGGTGGAGAAAAAGTCTTTCCTAACCCCAACCCCATTTCACTCACAAAATTCCACTGGAGGAAGTATATTGCAGTGGTAAAGATTACAGTTGTTTTGAATCGTAGAGATCTAGGTGTGAATCTCACTTCTGCCATTGTATAGCTACTGTAAGTTGATTAATGTTTTCTTAAGTTTCTGTTTCATCATATGTAATATTAATAACTACCTCATAGGATTATTTGGACAATTAAGCAATAAAATGTGTACAGAACATCACAGTGTGAGTTTGGGGTAGGCACTCATGAACATGAGCCACTGCAGTGATCTTACTTGTGTGATAATTGCCAACTATGTCAAGCCACGTGTGAAATATTTGAGATTTCTTAAACACTTAAAAATATAACAATTAAAAAAGCATATATATATTCTTTATATATATATACACATATATATCAGTAAATGCTTCTTAATAGCATAATGTGTTGTATTCATTGAATCAATATCAATCAATATTGAATCAATATCAATAAAATTATCAATAATTTTTAATAAAATTAAAATAATTTACCAATAATTTTTAATAAAAGCCATACTATCTAAAACTAAAACTAGAAGGATTATTGCCATTTATGCTTTTCTGGACATACTCAATTATGGCAGCACATTTGACTTGACACCACTCCACAAAAGTACTACAACATGTCAATTGAATTTCCTGTTTAGAGTCAACATATACTGTGGTTGTTCCAGGTGAGAACTCAGGGTGACAGACCAGAATGAAAGAAATTGAGATAGAAGGGAAGAGATGTGTAGTGTTTTTTTGAAGTCTTGTCAATAGTACCTGCTTGTGAACTGGAATAGAGTGGTGACAGATAGAGAAAAATCAAGCATTACTCTGAAAGTTGTCACTTGAGTTACAGGCAGATTATATTGCCATTTTATGAGCCTTGGAAGACTAGAAGAGGAGTAACCTGTGCAAGACAGAAGGAAACAAGAGTTCTATTTTGATCAGGTGAAGGTTGAAATTCTTATTTCAACATGCAAATGTATGTGTCAAGCAGAAATTTGAATTAATGTGTCTGTACATCCAGCAAGATCATGGCTAGAAATGTAGATTGATTATTCATGATCATATAGATTCTATTTAAAGTTATGGAAGAGAGAATTTGTATTTAAAACCAGATTAGGATGTGCCAATATTTAATGATTGGAAAATCAAGAGAAAGAGTGTCCAGGGAGCTAGGAAGAACACTAAGAGCATAGTGTCTTTCAAAAAGCCAAGAGAAAATATTGCTTCAAGAAGGTCAGCTTGGGGAGGTGCTGAAAAGTAAGTAGGATAAGAAAAGATAAGCAATCGATTTGGCAATCCTTTGAAGTTAATTCCAAAAGCATAGTAATAAGCTTTAGGAATTTCAATATATAAAACAACCTATTCTAAGTGTTAACTTGGATAGTCAAAGCCTAGAATAGAAATAACCATTTCCATCTAGTTCTCAGTTGTTAAATTGTTTGTTAATTCCTTTATGGCATTGGTCTATGAATGTGAAAGACATGAAAATTAATAATAGATGTCCTGAGTTTTAAAAATAGCTTTTAAAGTAAGACATGTCTTAGTTTTGGAAGGAAACTATAGATTTTATTAGGTTAATCAAGAATGATAAACAAAAATTCATTTTATAGAGTATTCTCCATGTTGAGGTATCATTTTTCTTTTAAAAAGTATTATTTATATTACTTAATGTTATTACTTAATACTGCAGAATAAATCTAGCATAGTGATCACAGGATACAGTTATGATATGATTAGGCTTTACGTCCCCACCCAAATCTCATCTTGAATTGTAATCTCCATTATCCCCATAATCCCCAGATGTCAAGGGAGAGACCATGTGGAGGTAATTGAATCATGGGGATGATTTCTCCCATGCTGTTCTTGTGATAGTGAGTGAGTTCTCAGGAGACGTGATAGTTTAATAAGGGACTTTTTCCCCTTTCGCTCTGCACTTCTCCTTCCTGCCACCTTGTGAAGAAGGTGCCTTGCTTCCCTTTCATCTTCCACCATGACTGTAAGTTTTCTGAGGCCTCCCCAGCCATGCTGAATTATGAGTCAAACATCTTTCTTTTTTAAATTACCCAGTCCTGGGCAGTTCTTTATAGCAGTATGAAAACAGACTAATGCAAGGTACTAGAACAAACTGCTCAGATTTGAATTTCAGCTCTCACAATTACTAGGTGCATATGATTTTGGGCAGGGTGCCTAATCTCTCCGTGGAAATCTGGTCTCTTCCAAAAGTGTAATGGTGCATGTTCAAAACTACTAGATAATTTTAAGTTTTCCCTGGTGTTTTTATTACATTACTCTCCCAATGAGGTATAATATATTAATCTAAAATATATTTTATGTTAATTGTATTCTTATGCCCACAAAAAATATTTTGAGTACAAAAATCAAGTCACAGGTAAATCCTCATACAGAATATGGAGTTAAAAATATGCAAACTTAAATAATATGTTGTTAAGTAATAGATATGTATATAGTAAGACCATAAGAAAAAAGATTTAAAGAGTAAGAAGATGCTAAACACCGTATTCAGGGTAAGATTATCTGTTAGAGGTAGTGGGGGAAGGCATGTGCAGTTACGAAGGGGCACACAGAGGTCTTTCTAGGTATTATTATTTACAATATATTTTCTTACATTTTTTCAAAATAATTATGTATACATGTTTTCTTATGTATGTGAAATCTTATATTAAAAAACTCACTTTCCAAGTGTATGTAATCCGAGTGGTTCCCTGTACAGCAACATTACTCCCCACAACCCTTTTTCTTGTGTATCCCTATGCCTGTAAAAATGGCAGAAATATTTTGCCTACTCCTATGCTGTCAATGTATCTTCTGATATTTATATGATGTCAAAATGCAAGTGGAGCAGGATCAAGGTGAACAAATGTATACCCATATGCCAGAGATTTCTTTTCTGGTATGTGTACTTATATTATCTGCTAGTCATGCATAATATTTGATTGCTTATAAGAAAACGAACTGCAACCCACAGTTTTAACAATAATGCCACCTTCATTGTACCTAACTGGTGTGGTAATCTATTTGTGTTATTATCATATTCAATAATTAATCAAATAACCACTAATGTGGTTTTATTATGCATGTCTAACTTTCAGTTTTCTTCATGAATCCAGCATTAATGTTTCACTTGTAAAACAACTCACATACTTTTGTGTGATTCGATGGGCTAAATCCGACATTAAGAATTTCAAGCTGCAACATAACAGGTATACAGCAGACGGCACCCTGCAGAATCTCCAAGGAATACTTGAGTCGTCAGCGCTTCTGATGGGTTTTGGAAAAAGACAGTGAGCAGAGAATCACTTAAGCAAAGTGGAAAAGCCGTAATTGTGTTCCTCTGAGACACATTTTTACTGAAATTATGTTTTGTTTTTGTTTGAAAATCAGAATCAAAGGCATATTTAACTACAGTTAAAATAGCTGTTTTTAATGAGTGATTCTATCAAATATGATGTTACAACTTTAGATAACATAATGCAATTTCTTAAAAGTAGTATGAATCTAATAATATTCACATGTTTACAGATGAGCAAAAGTGTTTCAGAATCTAGTGACTCGTTTAGCTGGAATGCACTTATTCCTTAACTGTATCATTTTAACCTTGATAAAATTGAAAACTTGTGGAAATTGATGGACTTTATTTTAGTTTAGATTTACCAGTAGATAGACATTTACTATTTCAAATATTGTCATTTTAAATATGTTATTTTCTGGAGAGGCACAGTGGCTCATGCCTGTAATCCCAGCACTTCAGATAGCCTAGGCAGGAGGATTGCTTGAGCTCAGGAGTTCGAGACAAGCCTGGGCAACATAGAGATCTCATCTTTACTAAAAATAAAATTGTTAGGTGGATGTAGAGGCACACACTTGTAGTCTCAGCTACGCCTGTAGTCCCAGCTACTCTGGAGGCTGACATGGGAGGATGGCTTGAGCCCAGGAGTTTGAGGCTGCAATAAGGTGTGATTGTGCCATTGCACCCCAGCCTGGGCAACAAAGCAAGACCCTGTCTCAAAAATAAATACATACATACATACATGCATTATTTTCTGTTTTTTTTTTTTTTAAAGTAAAAGTGCTCAAGATATATAGAGGACTAGCTATTGATAAAATAGAAATGAGTCAATTTATATTTAAGATAAATACGTGTGAACATAAGTAGACCCATTTGTTTTGTTCTCTTTGATTAAATGGACTTTTGAGCAGACTATGAAGAGTGGAGTGTTTAAAAAAAATAATGATTTCTCATGAAATATTCACTTCACTTCTCTTGAAAACATGAATATTGTTTTGTTATGCATGATCTACATTAGGAGTCAGCAAACTTTTTCTGTCAAGGCTAGTTAGTAAATATTTTAGGTTTTTCTGACTGTATATTTTCTGTATTTCAACTCCTCAACTAAGTTGTAGTGTGAAAGCAGCTACATTAAATGAATGAATGTGTGTTGCTAGTTCCCATAACACTTTGTTTAAGGAAACAGGCAGCTGTCCAGATTCAGGATTTGTCCTGGGCCTGTCATCCTATACTACTTCAGAGAGAGGAGATTAAACTGTCATGGGAGGCATTGGGTCCGTGACATTGGAGCATTAGTTTTAGGAGCAAGAATATACAGTCTAAATCTTATTCCATTACTAGTTAAATGTTCTTAGGCAGGTTGTTTAAATTCTTTGCCTCAGTAGGTTGGGGATAACAGTCACATATCACTTAGGTTTGTAGAGAATATTAAATGTGTTAATATACTTCAAATGCATGGAACAGTGTTGGACACATAGCAAATGCTCAATACGTATTAGATATTATTTTATGATTTTCACAAAGTCTGAGGGCCACTAGTGAAACAAAGAAACTGGATTTGCCATTAGACAAGCCTGAATTCAAATCTTAGATCTACAAAAATTTAAGAATGTAATTTAATTCAGTTTTGTTTAATTTCTTTAGCAGTCATAGGTTTCTTTGGGTGTAATAAGGGGATTAAAAAAATCATATAAATGTTGTTGTAAAGGTTAGATTTCATTTGTGTCTGGCAATGGAAGGATCTAAATAAATGTTACTTCTCTTTCCCCCTTAAAAAGTTTTTTTTAATTTTAGTATTAATTCTAAATTTGTTGCCCAGGTTGGTTTTGATTGCTGGCTTGATAGTACATTTATGATTATAGTTTTCTCTAGAACTGGTCCTTGATTTTAGTATCCTATTTCTTTCATGTGCCAGAGCTGAAGTTTGGGCCTTGAGCCTCACGTTTGTTGCAGAGATTCTTTTGCTAGTTCACAGGATTTCTAAACACAGGTTTAATATCCCTTATCCAAAACACTTAGGATCAGAAGTGTTTCAGATTTCAGAGTTTTTGGATTTTGGAATATTTGCGTATATGTAATGAGATATCTTGGGAATGGGACACAAGTCTAAACACAAAATTCATTTGTGTTTCATATACATCCTAAGCACACAACCTAACGATAATTTTATACAATATTTTTAATAGTTTTGTTCATGAAGTAAACTTGTGTTATGTGTTCATGTGTGGAATTTTTCACTTGTGGCACCATGTTGGCACTCAAAAAGTTGTAGATTTTAGAGAATTTTTGATTTTTGGATTAGGGTTGCTCAATCTGTATTTTTTTTATTTAATTTAATTTAATTTTACATTCCAGGATATATGTGCAGAACATTCAGGTTTGTTACATAGATAAACGTGTGCCATGGTGGTTTACTGCATCTATAGACCCATCACCTAGGTATTAAGCTCCACGTGCATTGGCTATTTATCCTGATGCTCTCCCTCCCCAACCCCCAACAGGCCCCAGTGCGTGTTGTTCCCCTCCCTCTGTCCATGTGTTCTCATTATTCAGCTCCCACTTATAAGCGAGAAGACGTAGTGTTTGATTTTCTGTGCCTGCATAAGTTTGCTGAGGATAATGGCTTCCAGCTCCATCTATGTCCCTTCAAAGGACATGATCTTGGCCAGGTGCGGTGGCTCACACCTATAATCCCAGCACTTTGGGAGGCCGAGGCAGGCAGATCACCTGTGGTCAGGAGTTCAAGACCAGCCTGACCAATATGATGAAACCCCATCTCCACCGAGAGTACAAAAATTAGCTGGATGTCGTGGCACACACCTGTAATCCCAGATACTCGGGAGGCTAAGACAAGAGAATCACTTGAACCCAGGAGGTGGAGGTTGCAGTGAGCCGAGATCATGCCGTTGCACTCCAGCCTGGGCAACAAGAGTAAAACTCCGTCTAAAAAAAAAAAAAAAGAAAAAAAGACACGATCTCATTCTTTTGCGGCATAGTATTCCATTCAACCTGTACTTCTTATCCACCTTTCTAAGTCTCTGATCAAGTTACATTGTTTCATAGCAAATTTTGGATAGGATATCAGTGAATTATAAGCATGTCCAAATAGATACCTACGTTTACCTAGGTTTTAAAATCTTTCCAAAATTTTGTTTTGTTTTTAAGAAATATTCAAAAATGTTCGATGAAACAGAGATGTGTTGTAAGTGCTTTTCTTGCAAGGAATTCTGTGTTATAGTAATGATATTCGTAGCTTCTATTTGAAGCCAAACAATTTTAATTCATCTATATCTTCTTCTAAACAATTTCCTTTATATCTATACTTATAGTCTTCAAGGTGACATTTTATCTAGATATGTAGGGATTTACTGTTTACAACTTAAAACATTATTTTAATTGCGTATTCTCAGATGGAACAATCCTAATTTGCTGTTGTTTAAATTGTATTATTTATTTCCTATTCAGGGCTTTGGAAAGGCTCACAATCATCATATTTTTGTTTAACTTAACTCTTGGTTTATGGTTTTGACACATGGTCATAAAAACATGCTTTGATAAGGTGTGATCTAATTTAGTACCTACTGAAATTCTATGTCCCAATATGCCCTTACTGCTTTTTAAACCTAAGGCTGTTTTGAACCAAAAGCCAATTTTCTAATACTGGAAGGCTCATTTGCTCCACATTATTGAGAAACATATCTATTTTATTTAAGTACTTTAGAAATATCCTTGCTAGGGCTGTGTCAAATTTAAATACCACCGGAAAGATAATTGAAAACGCTAAATAATCTTGAATTGTTTCTTCTGAATATTTCTCTTTACTTGGTTAACATCCAAGACTATGTATCTTACTGACAAATTGTTTAATATCTGTCAAAGTTATATTTCTTTTTTCTAGAAACCCTCAGAAGAGGAAACAATTTTTTTTTGGTAATGAATTGTGGTAAAAGAGCAGTAAATATTGCCATGGATACATATAATTCTCTGGACCACAGGCCAAAAAACTGCTGGCGTTGATTTTGGGGAAAAAAATCAGCAGATAACATCTAAATCTCTGTGCATATAGCAAAAATAGGAATTTTGGGGGAAAAATAATCATACTATATAGTAATTTGTGTTTGGATTTGAGAATATTATAATAGTAGAGAATGAAAGTGATACCAGGATGCCTGAAGTGTGTGTATGTGTGTGTGCAGGAACATACATGAGTGCAAGTACACAAGTGCCTATATGTTCATTGGGTTTGAGTGTGTGTATTTGTATACACTGGGGTTTAGGAGGTAGAGTTGGAAGGGATCTTAAAAATAGACCTAAAAAACAAACACCTTAAATGCATAGATGACATCTATTGCTTCCTCTCTGTCAGGTTAAATTTGACCTCATTGAAATTTCTACCCAACCTTGCAAAAAAATACCAGGATGCATAAACCAGGAAGTATGTCTGCATTCAAACATTGCTTCTGAGCCATTTCTTGGTATCCTTATTGTCAGGTCTATCCTGCTTTTCTTCACTATGTTAACTGAACTTACTATTTCTGTCTACTTTTAGGCTCTGACTTTGACCTTTCCTGTGTGTGAATTTAATTTCTCCCTCTTAGCAGTAAAGCAATGCATAGATTACTTTTAATGACCCACCCTTTCCTTTCATTTGCATTAGCCCTATGATATTCTATATCTTCTTACTTTCCTAGGGTAGTAGAAGTCTTGGCTTGTTTTGCCAGACAGAGCAAAAGTGTCCTGGGATCCACCTAAATCTCGTAAAATATTTCCTTACACAGAACGCAAAATTGCTTAGTACTCTCTACAAATACCCTCATCCCCCCACCCCAACACACATCCTTTTCATTTTAAATGATAGCCCAGGATAAATGGTGTGTTTCCATCAGTGCTTCAGATTGCCATGTTCTTTCAGCTCATTATGCGCCCACCCAAATTGAATTTCTGTCCCTAGCATGATAAGCAAGCATTTAGGTTTAATTGAGAATTCTCCTTATCTTATTATAATGAGAATTTTTAACACCACCATTTCTGTAACCATTATGGTAGTTTAACTGCTGTTTTCTGATTATCAACTTTTGTGAGACTTTTACCATGTGCAGAGTGAGCCAGTTTGGCCACTGCCACAAGCGCTGTGGTATTGTTCCTTTATAATTTTTGAGAGTAAGACATGGACAGAGTAAATTGTGTTTAAGGAGGGGTTTTTGTTGTTGTTGTTGTTTCTCAGGTAGACACATATGAGCACGTTAACCGCTTTTACAGGGCTTTCTAGATTTCAAAAAGCTATTGGTCAATTTAGCAAATGTTAGTATTTTCAAACTTCTTAGAAATGTTCTTTATACTCTGCCATGAAAATTAAAACATAAAACTAGAAATTTGAAAGATCATAGCTTTTCTCCCCAAAAGCATGCTATGTATTTGTAAGGTAAGTAAAATGAGTGAAATAGGATGAATATTCAGTGATTTTAAAAATTGTGAAAAATAAAAACTATTTTTGACAATTAAAAAAATAGTAGTGTACTCTCCACTTTATACAAAATATATACTTTAAAATAACATTGATTGTAGAGTCGGGTGTAGGAGAACAAAAAGCAAATTCCAAAAATAGTTTATTTTACATTTGTTTATGATAAGTTTAAATGGACTTAAGTCATTTGTCCTAAGAGTTTAGGAAGTGAAGAAATTTCAAGATAGTAAGAAATCCAGATGAAAATGAAACTAATCAATCCATAAGTAATAACAATTGGTATTTGGCTTATACGTTATGTGAAAAACAGCAACAACAAAAAATATTCATGCCTGTGCTTAACATCTCAGTGGGGAGAAATAGGCAGAGGAAAACATGTTTAAAATAAGATAATTTATACGATATTTTAATTGTGCCTCCATTTCTTAAGGGAACTTTTTTTCATTCACTATCTGCTTGAGCTTTATGTTTACCTTTTAGGTTCAATATTAGAGTATTAGGTGCAATTATTTTATAGGCTCCTTACCGTAGTTATAGAATTCAGTTTAGACATAGACTCACAGTTTTTTGTTCAGTTTATCAACAAATTTTCATTGTATGTCAGTCTCTGAGTCTACAAAAAGGAAAGACAAAATGAGAGGAATAAAGGAAAAAAAGAAGAAAGAAAGAGAGAGAGAAAGAAAGGAAAGAAAGAAAGAAAGAAAGAAAGAAAGAAAGAAAGAAAGAAAGAAAGAAAGAAAGAGAGTTGCCCTCAAGAAAGAAGTATACAAGTTCCTGGTATTCAAAAAATTAAGTCATACTTAAAGCCTGAAATTTCTGTGGTTGTAGGGCATACTATAAGAGAGAGTTTCTAAGAAAACCAGTTGTTATGGAATGAATTGTATGTCCCCAAAATTAATATGTTAAAGCCCTAACCACCAATGTGACTGTATTTGGAGATAAGGCCTTTAACTAAGGTTAAATGAGGTTATAAGAGTAGGGCCCTAATTCAATATGATTGTTGTCTTTATAAGAAGACAAAGAAACAGTAAAAGCCAAGTGAGGACAGAGAGAGAATGCACCATCTGCAAGCCAAGAAGAGAAGCTGTAGGAGAAACCAAACTTGCTGACATCTTGATCTTGGACTTCTAGCTCCAGGACTTTGAAAAAATAAATTTCTGTTCTTTTAGCCACCCAATCTGTGGTATTTTGTTATGGCAGCCCTAGAAAAGTAATATACCAGTCAATATCCCAAATACAGTAGAAAGAACAAAGCCAAGATTAGATTTTATATGGGGAACCTTAGGACTTTGTGTGTTGTACTAATATAGGGAAGACAACCAAGAGAGTAACACGGTCTTATAATATTAGTGACAGAGCAGAAGTTAGCTGCTGCTTCTTACACATTCATCTATGTGCATGGCGATAAGGCTTGACAGCTTTGCACTGATAAGAAAACAGGGGCAATGCTCCTTGAATGGTTTCACTATTAAAATGGCCAAGAGGTTAAGTGAATTTTAAGAAATTTTTCATACAGAAGCATGTTGTGAAAATAACAATCCTGTCCAGAAATTAATTTGTGGGTTAATATGCAGGACATATTAGAATAAAGTTTATTGGGAGAAATGAAGATCAACTTTGATTCAGGTTTGAAATAGTAAGAATATGGAGTGTGGCAGTGGCAATGGGAAGCTAAGAAGAGAGAGGCTGAAGATTATATAAAAATTGGAAATGAAGAGATTAATTACTATTATAAACAGTATGCTTGTGCCCTCTCAATATTCACATGTTGAAAGACTAACCTTCAATGTGACTATGCTTAGAGACAGGGCTTGTGAGGATGTAATAAAGGTTAAATGAGGTCACAATCGTGGGGCCCTGAATCAGTAGGGTGGGTGCACTTAGAGGAAGAGACACCAAAGTTTTCTGTCTCTACCATGTGAGGACACAGTGAGAAGGCAGCTATTTGCAAGCCAGGAAGAGAGCCATCACCAAGAACTGAATCTGCCAGCCCCTTCATCTTGGATTTCCCAGCCTCCAAAACTGTGAGAAATATATTATCTGTTGTTTAAGCCATCAGTTTATAGTATTTTGTTATAGCAGCCCAAACATATTAAGACAAAGTGGTTGGGTACTTTGAAACTAATATTTTAACTAAAGCACTCTGAGCTTTAGAAATCATATTTATAATAACTATAATACATTTCCAAAGAAAGTATAATTTAGTGAAAATAAAGGGTCAAGGGGCTGGGTGTGGTGGCTCACACCTGTAATCCCAGGCCTTTGGGAGGCAGAGGTGGGTGGATCACGAGGTCGGGAGTTTGAGACCAGCCTGGCCAAAATGGCGAAACCCCATCTCTGCTAAACAAAAATTAGCCTGTAATCCCAGCACTTTGGGAGGCCAAGACGGGCAGATCATGAGGTCAGGAGTTTAAGACCAGCTTGGCCAACATAGTGAAACCCCGTGTCTACTAAAAACACAAAAAAATTAGCCGGGCATGGTGGCAGGCACCTGTAATCCCAGCTACTCGGGAGGCTGAGGCAGGAGAGTTGCTTGAACCTGGGAGGGAGAGGTTGCAGTGAGCCGAGGTTGCACCACTGCACTCCAGCCTGGGCGACTGAGCAAGACTCCGTCTCAAAAACAAACAAACAAACAAACAAACAGAAAGAAAAGAAAGGGTCAAGAAAGTGAAAACGAGGAAGAATCTTTTTGAGCAAAAAGGAAGAAGGTTGCCATGTTTTCTGTAAAATAAGAATAATGAAAAAAAAGAAAGCTTGTGGGATTCAATTGCAAAGGAAGTTCTTAATTAAGGAAAGGAACATGTTAAGATAGTAACAGGATAGTTTGGACACCAGACTTGTAAAGACTTTGGATAAAACTTATGATGAAAAAAGGAATGTGATGAATAGAAACAAGTCATTCTGAAACAACCTGCTTGTGCAATAAAAGAAAGGGAGATAATCAGTGAATGAAAGGGAATACCATATCAGGTCCAACCTCTTCAACAGCTAATATCTACTCTTTAATATGTTACCCCACTTTACACTCAGCATGCTTATAAATAGTGCTTCTTGGTATCAATTTTGCCTTTCCCTAAATACCTACATATTTTTTACACCATCATTTTACTGAATACCAATAATTAAAACCCAGGCTCTACTTTAACACAGTTTTATGCTAAGCCAATGTGTCACTAAGTCCTTTTCTTTCTGTAAAATCTTTTCTTCCTACCTCAACTTTTCTTCTCCATTTCTATAACCAATGCTCTAGTCTAAAATTGCTTTAAATATGTGAAATCTTGTAATAGTCTCATAACTAAGAAGCAGTATTGCAAAATGTTTAAGAACATAAACTATGAAGTCGAACTAACTTGGGATAGAATCTTGTCTCTGACGTTTGCATACTAAGTGCCTTTGGGGAAGTTATTTAATGTCTTCAATTCTGTTTCTTCATTTGTAGAATAAAGACTTGAATAATAGTAGATGAGAAAGGCTAATTACTACAGATAGAGAGAAAGAGAAATTTTCTCCTTTCTCTTCATTAATCCACTCATATCTATTTCATCATGTTATTTTCTCAAAAAATTTTAGCAGATTTCTATTTCATGGAAAATAAAGCCAAATTCATTCTTTATTCTACTATAAAGATACATGCACACGTATGTTTATTGTGGCACTATTCACAATAGCAAAGACTTGGAACCAGCCCAAATGTCCATCAGTGATAGACTAGATAAAGAAAATGTGGCACATATACACTATGGAATACTATGCAGCCATAAAAAAGGGTAAGTTCATGTCCTTTGCCAGGGATATGGATGAAGCTGGAAACCATCATTCTCAGCAAACTAACACAGGAACAGAAAACCAAACACCACACGTTCTCACTCATAAGTAGGAGTTGAACAATGAGAACACATGGACACAGGGATGGGAACATCACACACCGGGGTCTGTCAGGTGGTGGGGGATAGGGGAGGGATAGCATTAGGAGAAATAGCTAATGTAGGTGACAGGTCGATGGGTGCAACAAACCACCATGGCACGTGTATACCTACGTAACAAAACTGCACGTTCTCTGCATGCATCCCAGAACTTAAAGTATAATTAAAAAAAAAAAAGTTTGTAAAGCAAATAACTTGGAAGACAGAGATAGCGTTCCCCCTCTAGGACAGAGAGCAAATTTGAAAGCTAATGTCTCCTTCCAAGACAAGTTTTGGCAGGTTTGCTAGCAACACATTTAAAAGATTGTTGTTCCTAAGCTTGAGATTATTTAGCTGTGGCACAAACACAATGTGTGTATCCCTTCCACCTGGATTGCTTCATATAGTGTCCATTAAACTTGGGGGATGAGAAATAGCATGGACAACTGGAGTCAATGGAAAAATTAAGTTCATGCTACCTGCTATATCCTGAATAATAAATTTCCTGTATATTTAACCCAGAAAGTCTCAAGTGTTCTGCTAGCATTTATGAAACTGGGGCATACTAATTGATTTATATTTATTGAGTAAAATATCAGACCCCTCACAGTTATTTTCAAATTTAATATGCAAAATTTTTTCCTGTAGCAATTTAATTTATAAGTAAATTTTAAAATTGTAGGTGTATAAACAAATTTACTTCCTAAATATTTAAATGTAATAAAAACACTTAGGAATATAATTTTTGTATTTCAGGATGATTAAACATGCAGTAAAATAATGAAGTCACATGTTGCTACTGGAATCAAAAGTTCCTAGTTTTTGTGATGTCTTTTATAATAATGTTGTATATGATTGTAGAAATAATACTAAAATACTACATTATCAGATTTTCAGCACTTTTCTTCTGAAAATAATGGGCTGTTACTTTTGAGTCAGAGAATCAGTGGTCTGTTTGCATGTGTTGGAGCTGAGAAACTGATATCCCAAAATATGGCATTTTGACATGCTGAACTGAAGAAGCCTTAGGGTGTCTCTGACTATCTTTCCCAAAGGAAAAGATCTAGACCCAATAAGGAGAACAATATTCTTTTTCTTCTCTTCCCTGTTATCTTATTATCTATTGCAAAAAAGAAGACCAAGATGAGATCATACCTCAGTGGACCTTTTTATGAGTATAATAACTTACAAGCATAATGACAAGGACCATTTAAATTCCAAAGAAAACTATTTACAAGTTAATCTCTATTCCCCATTCAATCATTTTTGCTAGCAATTATTTATTGCCCTTCAACAGAATTCCTCTTCCCCTTTTTCCCATAACCTGTCTTACTAGAAGAATCCAAGGCCCCATTGTTTCTCTGTATCCTCAAAATTAAGTTTCTGTAACTCATTGGGAAGGTTTGGTCTTCATTCTGAAGGCTTCCGTGTATGCATGTTAAATAAATTTGTCTGCTGTTCCTCCTATTAATTAATATGCCTCATGCCTGTGATTTTTCAGAAAACTTTTAGGGGGCCAAGCCTATGGCTCCCACAAATGCATTTCAAGTCGTTTAACTGCCATCTTTCTTACCAGACAACCTACTTGTCTTTATAAAATAGATTTATTTGGTAATAAGAGTTCCTATTTAAAAAAAAAACTTGCTTTGAATTTCCAGCTGTCAGAGCTGTGTAATTTTATGTGTGCTTGTTTTTATTTGAGAGATTATATCCTCTTAAAAGGAAAACAAGTAACAGAGTAATGAAGATAAAATAATCTCATTTTTATAAAAAGTGTATTTTATATGTTTGCATATTTGTATATGAGAAACACTGCGCAGTGGTATCATGTGTTACCTAAGAAAGAATAGAGGAGTAGAGGGAAATAGTTGACTTTCCTTCATATATCTGTGCCAATGTTATTTTTTCTTTTGGTTTTGTGCTAGAAATACAAATTGAAAAAAAAATTTTAATGAAACGTAAGTATTGAAGAACCAATGAGATAAATTAATTAAAATTATGATAGACACCATGATAGAGTCAGTATTTATATTAATAATATTTTAATACAACAGGGTGTACATTCGTAAGTGTGAATAACATTTTGAAATATCTTATTTTTTAACATAATTTTTATATTTCCAGTAAATTCAGCCACCACCATACCTATTTCCTATTTTATATAACTTGAGGCACCTTGATGCTTCATTTTTCACAAATTGTTTCCTTATTGAGTGATATGCTTTTATATTTATTTAAAACTATGCACGTCTACAAAAACGCATTAGTTAATTTAAATCTTGAAAGGTTGTAGGATCATGTATTTGTCCATTTTCACACTGCTATAAAGAACTACCTGAGACTGGGTAATTTATGAAGAAAAGATATTTAATTGACTCAGTTCCACAGACTTAACAGGAAGCATGACTGGGAGGCCTCAGGAAACTTACAATCATGGTAGAAGGCAAAGAGGAAGCAAGAACCTTCTTTACATGGTGGCAGGAGAGAGAGAGCAAAGTGGGAAGTGCTACATACTTTTAAACCATCAGATCTCATGAGAATTCACTCATTATCACAGGAACAGCAAGGGGGAAATTTGCCCCCATGATCCAGTCACCTCCCACCACGCCCCTCCTTCAATTCAACATGAGATTTGGGTGGGGACATAAATCCAGACCATATCAGATCCCTTATGTTTTGTTTCTGTTATAGTATAAAATTGAAATCCGATTATGTGAATTCGTTGGGATGCTTTATTTAACAACACTTAATTATTTTTCAAGGGCTAATATTAAGATTTTGTTATCCAATGGAATAACATATACTTTATAATTTTTCATCAGCTGTATTACAAAAAAAGGAATCCTTATTACTTTAATTTACTTGACACTTGAATTTGTATTTTCTTCCTTTTATACTTTATATTTCATTTTACATACTAAATTCTAATTCTTATAGTTTTAATTTTTTCTTATATATGCAACATATTTTTGAATAAATGTTAAACATACATTTTAAATTAACCCATTTTCCATTCTAAATGTACATTGCTCATTTCTCTCTTCTGTTACATAGCATTGCGATTTTTTAAAAATCTGCTCATATCTTCTCTTTCATAGAAGCTAGCTTCCATGACAAAGTTTTCCCATTCATTTATTCATTCATTCAAAACCACTTATTTAGCCCTTTATTGTACGCCTAACCCTCTCTCAGTTTCTTGGGCTATATTATTTATATCTCTGTAAGTGAAAGAATAACACACAACTTAAACTTCTTTGGAGGCCTATTGCCCCACAGTAGTATAAGTATAAGAATGAGTGTGATGTTTTTGCCAGAAAAGAAGTATAGAAGAGATGCTGGCTATATAATAAATTTTTATTTTATAGGTGGGGTTAGAAAGGAGGAAAAGAAATAAGATTGAGGTTGATTATTGTCATCAGAAATTTTAATTTCAGTAAAGAAAACAGTGCAGTTATTTATAATGAAATATTATCAAAATATTATTTTGCATATTTAAATTTAGATTATTCTAGCAATTGTTTATATTTTGAAATGACTTACATTTCATGCATACTGTTCTGTACCTATAGATGGCATTAATATCACTATATTAAAAAAGTATACTTGATATTTGGCCTGGTGGTTTTTGACAGTGTAATTATAGGAATTTTAGTTATTTGTTTCTCATGTCAAATCTAGCAGATTCAATAAAAAATACAATGATTCTCTGTTTATCTGAGTTATATATAATCATAATAAAGTTTTATAATAGGATCCCTCATATCAGCTGCTCTCTTTAAATTATCCTCCTGGTTTGATGAAGTAAAAGATAGATTTTTATTAAAAAATTTCTGTAGCACATTTTGTGGTGTGTTTTGTGAGATGACAGTAACAGTCTAGTGTTTTCATGGCTTTTGATAGTTATTTATTGCATGGTAAAAGAGAACTTTGGGAAGTTTTAAATTATCTTTTCTTTCAGATTGAAACAAAACACTATTTTCTAACCTGTTATCTCTCATTTCCACCTATGAAGGCAACACTTTCTGGCTCTCTTACTCACTGGCTCTTGCTCTCTTTCTCTCTCTTACATTTGGAGTCAAAACTCTGAGAATGAGTAAGATCTTTTTGATACAGATCTGGTCTGACCTAGATCTTTCCTTATAGTTTTCAATTTATTGTTTTCACATGTCCTAGTTTGGGTAGTATTGAGAGGATCCCTAAAATTTTGATGGATGCAAAAATATAGCTTTAGTAAACATGTATGTGTGCATTTACTCAGAATTTAAATGAAAATGGAGAATAGAAAGGATTAAATACTCGGGTCCAAATAGAGATATTGTTAATCTTATATTATCTGACAAACTTAAACAATTTTTAAAATAGTATGCCCTAAATTCATGAAAATCAAAGGTATAGGAGAGTAAAAATCCTCAGAATACGTGTGGCAAGATATTCTAAGAGGCTTTGCACAGTTATAATATTCTTGGCTTTTTCTTTTACTAACATGCTGCTTCTCCAAGTAGAGAATAATTTAATTTCTTTCATTCTCTTCTACCCTTACATTGTTTTGATCACCTCTTCACTTCATCTTTCAGAGAAAGAAAAAGATATTCATTTGTTTGACAGGTTGACATTAAAAATCTCTTTTTAAAAGTTTTTAAAAATTGTTGTTAACAATTAATATTTTTGAAACCCATTGGACAGTCTAAATGCTCTCAATAAAAGATCTTTATTTCCATGTTTTCTCCTTTGTGTCCTGCAAGTTTCTGAGGAAGGTGTGTTAAAACCTTCGAATATGACTATGAATTTTTCTATTTATCTATTATGACTATGAATTTTTCTATTTATCTCTTTTATTCTGTCAATTTTTTAATATATCTTGAAAATATATTATTGGATGTATTAGCCCTTTTATAATTATGATTTTTTATTTTTAATAAATATTCTGGTGTTAATCCTACATAGTCTAATATTAGTATTGCTTGTGCTAGTTTCTGTTGGTTAGTATTTGTGCGATATCTATTTTCCATTCTTTTATTTTTGTTTTTCTGCATTTGCTCATTTTTATATGTCTCTAGTGACAGCATATAGTTGGCTTTTATGGTAAAATTCAGATTTAAAAATCCTTTTTATCTTTTAATTGGAGTCTGGATCATATTTGTATTTAATGTAACTACTGATATATTTGAATTTAAATGTATGTTTTTAATTTTGTTTTCTATTTGTCCCTCTTGTTCTATGTTCCTTTTTGTATCTCCTTGAAATAATTATTTTCTAATTATTCTATTTCCTCTTATTACTTTGTTAGTTATGCAATTTAAATAAACTATTCTTTTAGTGGTTATGATAGAGATATCAATGTATATCTTTGACCTGGAGAAAGCCTAATTTAAATGAACACATGTAATTTTCTGTGTAATGTTAGGACATTAAAATACTTTATTTATCTCTCATTTACATCTTCAGTTATGTATTTAATTCAACAGATATGTGATCATATGCATCATGACCTCAATATTTATTAAGATTTACCTAAATATATGCCATTTTATTTGAACTTTATACATTTCTACATACAGTCATCTATCTGGGATTATTGTCTTAATTTCTGAAGAACTTCCTTAATATTTATTTTAGTATGGGTGTGCTGATGATGAATTCCCTCTCTCTCTGTCTCCCTTTCATTCTTTTTTCCTTAAAAAGCCACCTATATCAGTTTCATCTTAAAACATATTTTAACTAAATAAAAAAATCTGTTTGCAGTTATTTTTATTTTCAATGCTTTCATTTTCTGGCTTTATTCAAAAGAGATTTTGTTTTTTGGAAGCTGATGTGTCTTTTCTCTGGCGTCTTTTAACCTTTTTCTTTGGCTTTTTGTAGTTTGAGCTACCTTTACATAGAATTTTATTTGTTTGCTGTTTATGTTATTTACATCTGTGGCTAGTTTTTAAACAATCTGATCCAGTATCTTTTCAAATGTTGCTTCTGCATAGTTCTTCTGTTTTTTACTTCTGGGACTCCAATTGCATATATTTTGATGTTACACCGTATACCGTGTCATTAAGCTTTTTCCTGTATTTTTGTTGTTTTTTGTTTCCATGTTTCAATCAGAGAATTTTATCTGACCTTCATTATGCTTCACTAATTTTCTCTTCATCTGTATTAAATGCACTGTTAAAGCCATCTAATAAGATTTAAATTTCAATTATCATATGTTTTAGTCCATTTGATTTTACATCACAGTTTTCAATTCTCTGCTGAAATTTTTCATCTTGTCATGTAATTTCTTGAACACATTAATTACAATTATGTTAAGACTATGTTATAACTCTATATGTGGAGCCAGTCACAGTGGCTCACACCTGTAATCCCAGCACTTTGGGAGGCCCAGGAGGGTGGATTGCTTGAGGCCAGAAGTTCAAGACCAACCTTGCCAACATGGCAAACCCCATCTCTACTAAAATTACAAAAGTTAGCTGGGCATGGTGGTGCATACTTGTAATCTCAGCTATGTCAGGAGACTGAGGCATGAGAATTGCTTGAACCCAGGAGGCGGAGGTTGCAATGAGCTGAGGTCATACCACGGCACTCCAGCTTGGGTGACAGAGTGAGACTCTGTCTCGAAAATAAAAACAACAAACAACAAAAAAACTCTCTATGTAGATCTCCTTTGGTTCTGTTTATATTTTCTGGCTTTTTCCTTTTTATTTATGTATTTATTTGATTCCATCTCCTTGTACACCTGATAATGTTTAATTAAATAATAGGAGTAATTTGAGGCTCTAACATTATTAACTTTCTGCAGAAAGGATTTACTTTTGCAGGCAATTAAGTTCTAAACATTACATCTTAATCCAATCAGGAATTAAAGTGATTCCAAGATGGACGTCAGTCATTGGGAACCTAGTGGGATTACCAATGGAAAGAAAACCAGGAGTTTCCCCAGGAACTCCTCTCCCTGGGAGACCTGAATTCCAATGTCTTCTTCTCAACTCAGTTACACTAGTGACGGCCCTGCTTAAGACCTGTCATTCTCAACCACTGCTTTCTGCTCAACTTCTCAGATTTTGCTGTCAATTTGACAAATGACCCCAAGGATAAAAGTGACACCAAATGTTACATTTGCCTTTGTGGGTTTCCCCCTGAAATCATGACGTTTTAGGTCTTTGACTTTTCAGAGTAAACCATACTTATGCATGTAATTCTCTATTACTCCCCTCTAGGAATAACTTAAAAAGATATAGTAACTCAGATTACAGCTGTGCGTGTAAAGAATCAATAAACATTTAAATATATTCACAATGGATGTTTTCTTTATGAAGAATGTAATTTAGTATGGGACCATTGAATTTGCTTTTCCAAAGCATTTCACAAACTAAATATCTTAGAATATGTGGTGACATCTGTAGTTATATAGTTTAAGTAACTTGAAACCAAATAGCCATATTAAAGAGATCTCAGTGTATGTACTGTATACACACACATGTGATATTTTCTTCCCGTTTTCTTGCCTCTCTAGGTAGTTTTAGAAATAACAAAAAGTGGTGTGTGCAGTTCATCCTTGTAAATTTGATTTTCACAACAACCAATGATATGAGAGGGCTTTTTTTTTTTTTTTGAGAACTGCCCTTAATAATGAAGATCTACTCCTAAATTAATGTTACAATGGGACTCGTTGACTCACATCAGTTTTCTAAATTGATTCCAAGGTAAAAATTTCTGGGAGATCATTCTCTTGATTCTGCTACCCTCTGAAGAAAGCAACAAATAATTAGGCAATTAACAAGTTGCTTTCATGCTTGCCCTAGTGTTTTGTTAAGAGCTCCAGTTCTGGATAGGCTCTTTGAATATGAATTATACTTCTAGCACCTAGCAGTTTGGTAACCCAGAAAAAGTGACTTTTCCCTCTTAGTGGATAAGAATTGTACTTCATAAATTTAGAGGATTTAATGAGAAATAAATGTAAAGAGCAGATTAGTCATCCCCCCAAAATTGTATTATTATTTTTTCATCATCATGATCATCATTACAACCACCACCAACATCACCACTGCTACCATACTTCCAAACCATGTATTGTGGGCTCCAAAAGTTATTATTATAACATTTTTATCATTGTGACTATGAGTCTGATTTCAATAGCTAGCTATATTTTTAACCAACATTGCATAATGAATATTACCTAGATAGCCTTCTTTTCTTAGTAATTGCATTTCCATTATCACTCTATATAGCATTTAAACTTTTAAAAAGCTGCCTGTGTTTTTATAAGTTAAATATATAATATTAACTATTTAGTTGTGCTATCCTGAAGAGTTAAAAAGTATTTGCTTGGGATTCTGACTGGTGTAAGATATCCCATTGTGGCTTTAATTTACATTTATCTCATGAATGATGAACATTTTTTCATATGCTAGATTGCCACATGTATGTTTTCTTTTGAAAAATGCTTATTTGTGTCATTTGCACACTTTTTAGTGAGGTTTTTTGTTGTTGTTGAGTTCTTTGAGTTCCTTAGTCTTCAAAAGTAAAAAAAAAAAACCTTAAATAGATGTTAATGAAGATTCAGAAAAAGGGGAACACTTATACACTGTTGGTGGAAATGTTCAGTTAGTACAATCTCTATAGGAAACAGTATGGCAATTTCTCAAAGAAATAAGTATATAACTACCATTTGATCTAACCATTTCACACTGGGTATCTACCCAAAGGAAAAGAAATCATTATATCAAAAAGATACCTGCACTCACATCTTTATCACAGCACTATTCACTATAGTAAAGATATGAAATCAACCTAAGTGTCCATCGTCGATGGACAAATGTGTAAAGAAAATGATATCTATGCATCATGGAATACTACATAGCCATAAAAAGAAGGAAATCATGTATTTTGCAGCAACATGGATGGAACTAGAAGCCATTATCCTTAATGAAACAACTTAGTAACAGAAAGTCAAATACTGCATCTTAAAATTTTTGGGAATATTAATGAAAATGTGTCATAACATTTCAAATTGATATATGATATTCTTCAAGTTATGTCTTATCTAATATTTATATAGCCATATAATTCATAAAAGCTGTGTAAGCCATAAAATCATATATGCCAATTTTGTTGGTTCTGTTAAACAGGAAAATAAGGGCAACATTATTATGTTTTGATTTAAATTTGCAGGATTTATGATAAGAAAAATTATTGTTTGTTATTGCTAACCTTTTTCTAAAATAGATATTAAATACATTTTAAAATAGAGTCACAAAGCTTTGAACCAAAGTAGAAATGGTGGAGGAACCTTGTACTTTACAGATGGGCTGCCAGCTAATTGCACCTTTTGCGTAATGGCTATATATTTGATGGATTTCGCAATCTTAGAATGCTTCCAATTTTTATTTGCAAAGTAGCATATTAATAATTGCCTTGCAATTTTGAGATGAAGAGTAAATAATATAAATTTTTATAAGACACTTGGCACATAGTGCTCAATAAAGGTAAAAGGTGTTATTGTTGCTATAGTTTCCTGGAATAAATAACTGCTGTACAGTGTTTCTCATGGTGCTTGCAATAAAGGAAGCAACATTCGCTTGGTTGTCTGGATTCTGAAATACTGCATCTCTGAAATTCATTCATATTATGCAAATAGTGTGATAAACATTTTTATTCCTCTATTCCTGCCTTTCTCAAACTCCAAATTATAACTTACCTACAGAATCCCCTGTATTGAGGTTGGTTTTTAACTGTGCTTTTAATTTATTCTGTAGTTTTTAAAACTGCTTTAGTATTTACAATAGTTGGCAGTCATGAAGGTAGTAAATTATGACCTTTATTCGTTATCATAAGAACCCCAGTTTGAACAGAGATTGCACATGACTTTATTGTCCTTCTGTGCTTCAGGAGTGTGCAGTTGCTTTTCTGAAACTCCAAGGGAGAATTTGTGAGTGTATTTATATATATGCTACTAGAAAAGTAATTGAAGAATAGAATAGAAGAAGCAATGTAAAGGCTTCTTAGAAAACATTAAACTAGTAGAGATTATTCAGCCTGAAGAATAGAAGGCTGAAGCGCAATATGCAGCGAAATGTTTAACTATAGTGTGAGATGATTTATGTTAACTATAAAGGAGAACCTCCCTGGGCTGAATGATAGTTATTAGACCATGGTACAGATTAGAGAAAGAGTTTATGGAATAACTCCAAAATTTCCTAAAATATCAGAGTGTCCTACTTAAATCGTATGCTATTGGTCTTACTGAAAACTATAAAAATGCAGAGATTTTATACACTGTTTTTGTTCTTTAAAAAAACCCAGTGTTTAGTAACATGAAATTAAAGAAATAATGGAACACAATTCCACAAGTATCAGAAAATGTGCTACCTTGTTGAGTAAATTGAAAAAGGCAGGCATTACTTCCATTCTGCTTAAGAAAAAAAAAAAATTTATTTTAGGTCTGCTGTGTGATAGTTGACAAGCAGTAAGGACTGGCTTGTTTGTCCTATACCACTCTTTGTTTCTTTCTTTCTTTTTTTTTTTTTTTTGAGACTTAGTCTCACTCTTTCACCCAGGCTGGAGTGCAGCAGCACAGTCTTGGCTCATTGCAACCTCCGCCTCCCAGGTTCACGTGATTCTCCTGCCTCAGCCTCCCAAGTAGCTGGGACTACAGGCGCTCGCCACCATGCCCAGCTAATTTTTTGTATTTTTAGTACAAATGGGTTTCACCGTGTTAGCCAGGGTGGTCTCCATCTCCTGACCTCGTGATCCGCCCACCTGGGGCTCCCAAAGTGCTGGGATTACAGGCCTGAGCCACCATGCCTGGCCGTCCTATACTACTCTTTTATGGGAAAAAGTAGCTCAACTGGGTGTGAAAACATTAATGTTCTGATATAGGGTCTGCTACTTATACTATATTATATGGAATAATATACTATATTATATGGAATAAGTCATTTTAATTTTCTGCATCTTTTTTTACTCACTATGCTAATTGATCTCTAAAATTTTCAAATTATAATGTTCTGTGAGTAAATAAAATAATGAAAAGTAAATGTTTTTTAGTCTCATATACTAAGGCACATTTAATGCACCTCCCAGTCTTTAACATGCATTCTGATTGGATTATTTATTCATTTGGGGAAATCTTATACATTGTACAATATCTTAACTAAATTTGATTTGCATTTTCATGTAGCTAGGATATGTAATTTAGGAAACAATATAAATTATAAATAATTAAAACCTATTTTTGATAAAGAGGGTGTTAATGTAAGCTAGTGATCCTAGTAAGTTTTTTCATTACGCTCTTGTCTTTTGTTTCTGGTACTCTACAAATTTCAAGTCATACATTAAAGTGGGATCTCTGTATCTGATTCAGGTCCTGCTATGTCATAATCCAATGATGTCTCTTAAATCATATTTTCTTTCCTTGGCAGTTTTATTATTATCACTGCTTAGAAATACTGAGGCAACAAAATCATATTTCTAATATCTTAAAGGATGGAATATTATTTCATAAAGTGAGATTACCTAATTGCTTGTTATGTTTTTGTTCTCTATAATGAGAGAGGAAATTAAGATAATCACCTTGAGTTGATTTTCTGATTTTTATCAGGAAGATAAAATAACTTCCCTGTGCTTTTTCATATGCAATATTTTGATAGTAAAATAATGGTTTACTGTTTGAAACCTAGAGGAAAGAGAAAAGAAAATAATAATAAATTGTGTTAATCCACACTTGGAAATTTTCTATACCTTGTAAACATTTATTTCTTACAATTTTCTATTAAAGTAGATATTAACATCTTCACTTTTTTGATGAAAAAACTGAGATTCAATCAGGTTTATTAGTTTGTCTAAGAACCCAGTCAACAAGTGAAACCTGGATGCCTGCTCAGTTCCAAAGCTCGGAGTGTTTCTAGTACACCAGATATTCTGGCTACACACAAGAAACAAATGGGAACCTTAAAAATACCAATGAATTCAATGTTCAAGATCAATTGAGAACCACTAAAGTATATCGTTTATGTTCTTGAGACAAGGTCTTGCTTGCTTTGTCACCCAGCTAGAATGCAGTGGCACAATCATAGCTCACTGCAAGCTTAAACCCTGGGTTCAAGCAATACTGTGGGCCTCCCAAAGTGCTGGGATTACAGGTGCGACTACCACACCCAGCCTATACTTTATTATTCTTCACAATTTTTTCAAATATTTATTTTACAATATTTTAGTGAAAAATAAGTCAAATCTAAAACATATGTTTGCCAGTTATGTTATTTCCCATTGCAATATTGTAGATGAACAGATGGTTAGCTATTAGTTCCATCTGTATGACCAAAATAGAGAGTAATTGTGTGTTATTGTTACTTATAGGTTCACTTGTCAAGGATGAGTGTTTCCAATTCTACAAATAAAAATTGTATTATTTTCTAGTTGTATGAAAGTGAAGCTAATGCTTAAGAATGTAAGTTACCTGTTTGCTACTACCATTTAAAAGATAAAAATTGGTTTTTCAGTTTGGAGATACTTTTAAAAAAATCTCTATTTAGTTAATAAGAAATTCTATACAAAAAAAATCTCTACTTAGTTTACAAGATATTTTATACAAATAACTGTTTTGGCACATTCATGTATGAGACCGGCTTTTAAGAGTCAAAGGATTAATTTGAAATATTGATGGTATGAGTATGATAGAAATTTCATAATAGAAATATTACAAAATGGATAAAATGTTTTCTATGTGCTTCGTTATTTACTAATACATTGACTTCTCATTTCATTACACATTTCCAGCTAGATGGCAAGCAATTCAAAATGGGACTTAATGTAATGATATAATTTTGTGATTTGTGTGTCTCCTTTAAACTTTCAATCATAGATTAAATTTTAATTTGTTAATGTGTTCTCACAGGATAAACAAGGCACAAATTCCTACTATATACTAACGGAAAAGGGAGTTTTTTTTGTCAAAAGCATTAAAGCAATTTGTTAATAGAATTCATCAGCATTGTATTTTTCTACCTTAACATACTACCTTGTGGTTCACATTAATAGTTATAATAATTATAAAATAATTTCATAAATTTAGATACTTGGGTAATTGACAAATATCTATTTACAAAGCTGGTTTAGAAATAGAAACTAATTGGCCAGGCACGGTAGCTCACGCCTGTAATCCCAGCACTTTGTGAGGCCAAGGCGGGTGGATCACCTGAGGTCAGGAGTTCCAGACCAGCCTGACCAACATGGAGAAACCCCATCTCTACTAAAAACACAAAATTAGCCTGGAATGGTGGCACATGCCTGTAATCCCAGTGACTCGGGAGGCTGAGGCAGGAGAATTGCTTGAAGCCAGGAGGCAGAGATTGTGGTGAGCCGAGATCACACCATTGCACTCCAGCCTGGGCAATAAGAATGAAACTCTGTCTCAAATAATTAAGAAAATAAATAAATGAAACCAAAATAAATTTTTGGCGTAAAGTAGACGCTTTTATTGAATTTTAGTTCTGTGGAAAAGTAGATGTTTGCGAAGATTACTATATTAAACATTTAATCCTGAAAAATTCAAGTCCTTGTTTAGTGAACTTATTTTTCCATTACTTTTGGCTTTCTATTACATTATTATCCAGTACAATTTTAGTGAGTATCTAGTAAGTTTAAGGATTATATTAGGTGGTAGGATATAGTATATCTATAGTAGGGGTCCTTGCTATAACAGAAGAGCAGGGAAGAAAAACATTAAACAAATACTTATAAGTGTTGTATGTCATGTATTTTCTGCGCTTTGTGACATATGGCTGTAATTTCGAGGTAGGGAGAGGTTCTAAGGACTGAAACATATGCTGAGATTTTTTTTTCTTTTTTTTTTTTGAGACGGAGTCTTGCTGTCGCCCAGGCTGGAGTGCAGTGGCGTGATCTCGGCTCACTGCAGGCTCCGCCCCCAGAGTTCACGCCATTCTCCTGCCTCAGCCTCCTGAGTAGCTGGGACTACAGGCACCCGCCACCTCGCCCGGCTAATTTTTTGTATTTTTAGTAGAGATGAGGTTTCACTGTGTTAGCCAGGATGGTCTCGATCTCCTGACCTCGTGATCCACCCGCCTCGGCCTCCCAAAGTGCTGGGATTACAGGTATAAGCCAGCGCCTCCGGCCATATGCTGAGATTTGAGGGGTAAAGGAAGTATATTTCCAGCTGAGGGAAATGCTAATCTGAAGGCACTGAGGCAAGAGTTTACAAAGCAGTGGGGTATTAGTTTGTTATTGCTGCTGTAACAAATTACCACAAACCCAGAAACTGAAAATAACACAAACTTATTATCTCACAGTTAAATAGATCTGAAGTTTAGATGTGGGAGGTTTCTCTGGTGCAAATCTCAAAGGGCAGTCTTCAAGGTGTTGGCAGTTTGGGCTCTTATGTGGACCTTCTGACAGTGGGAGGTGTGGGAAAAGGGACTCTGTTTCCATGCTCATTCAGGTTGTTGGCATAATTCATTTCCTTGTTGCTGTTGGCTGACTTCCCCATTTCCTTACAGGCCTGGAGCCTCTGTCATATTCTTAAGGTCTTCTGCATTCCTTGTCACATGCCCCCCTCAATCTTCAAACCGGCAGTTGTGCATGGAGTCTTTTTCACCTATCATATCTGCCTGACATCCCCCCTCTGCCACATCACTTCTGACTCTCCTTTTCATACGTTAGATGCAAAAAAAACTTTGCTCTTCAAAGTTTATATGATTATATTAAGTCTACACAGGGGATTCTGGATAATCTATTTTAAAGTTAACTGATTAGTAATTTGAATTACTAATTTAAATCTTGATTACTAAGTCCTTTTTGCCATGTTATGTTACATAGTCACAGGCTTGACACCATGGGCATAAATTATGGGGCTAAAATTCTGCCTACCATGGTGGTTGAATTTTACTGCACATGAAGAGGTCAGTGAACTGAGTGGCTAACTTGCTTTTTAGCCTGTATATTTTGGCATTAATCAGCCAAAAATGGTTGTGGTGAAGAGATAAACTAAAGTCAATGACATATCTCTAGCAATACCTAAAGGTTGGCAATTAGTAGACACAGGATGAGTAGAGGATGATACCAGCATGAGCCTCACAGATTGGGGGAATACTGCAGGCTATGGAGTGGTGATAATTAGGAAAATGCACCAGATTGCCCTATCACGTGCTGAAGAAAAAGCTATCTTCAACTGACAGAACTCAGTGGAATCCTGGCACTTTGGAGAGAGCCAATTTTCACCAAGTCAAAAATTGAACTGAGTAGTCATTCAAAGAGTTCATACTGTTGAGAAGTTTGTTAAAAATTTTCCAAGAGTAAAGTAGAAAATTTTGTGGGGGAGAGGAGGAATCAGGGAAATGTATCAGGAGAAACAACACAAAGAACATTATGGGCATGGGAGCGTCAGACAGAGATGGCAGAGAGTGGTGAAAGGCAAAGTGAATTGAGTATGGATTTACAAAGAAAATAATAACTCTAATAATCTCTTGGAAATGGATATATTTCTTTCACTAGTTATCAAGAGGTCTGCAAAGAAAGTCAAGTTGTTGAAAACTGCATGGTCTTTGGAAGAGAGTGGTAGAGTTAACACCGAATCGACTTCAGGTTCTGTGAAGTCTGGAGCATGTAAGGTCCAAGTCAGCCATTTGTTTCTGAGAGTCAGTACACCATAGTGGTTAGGAATACAGCCTGTGGCACAAGGGCTCATGGGTTCCAATCCTGTCCTTCTGACTTTGAACAATTCATTTAAACTTTCTGTGCTTCAGATTCCTCAGCTGCACAGTGGAAATAATGACATTAGTGGCCATTTCATTGTGTCATTGTGAAGATTAAATGAGTACATGGCTCATTGTTAAGTGTTAGCTACTATTATTATTATTATACTTTAAGTTCTGGGATACATGTGCAGAACATTCAGGTTTGTTACCTAGGTATACCTGTGCCATGGCGGTTTGCTGCACCCATCAACCCATCATATACATTAGACATTTCTTCTAATGCTATCCCTCCCCAGCCCCCCACTCCCTGACAGGCCCCGGTGGGTGATGTTCCCCTCCCTGTGTCCATGTGTTCTCATTGTTCAACTCCCACTTACGAGTGAGAGCATGAAGTGTTTGGTTTTCTGTTCCTGTGTTAGTTTGCTGAGAATGATGGTTTCCAGCTTCATCCATGTCCCTGCAAAGAACATGAACCCATACTCTTTCATGGTTGCATAGTATCCCATGGTGTATATGTGCCACGTTTTCTTTATCCAGTCTATCATTGATGGGCATTTAGGTTGGTTCCAAGTCTTTGGTGTTGTGAATTATTAATAATATTGTGTTAGCTATTATTATTAATGGTCATTGCTATGATTTTTTACCTACTTACCAAAGATTTCAATATTACACTCTATGCAAGACAAATAAACAGTTTTTAGACTGAAAATCTATGCTAAACTTAATAATTTTGTGTATGTCATTTGGTTCAATAATGCTACTTAAGAAACACAGTATTAACCTCATAGAGTTAGGTATTATTGCTTGTGTGTGATGGTGGAGCTGTGTCAAAATAGTTGTTGGGAAAATAGGTTATGGTTTAAGTGATTTTGGTAGATCTAAAGATGCCAATCCTGGTAATGTAAACTTGCCTGTTGGATTACTTTTTCTTTAATAAAAACAGCCATAATCTTCTAGAAGCAGTGTTCTTGAGAAATGTATCTGTCGCTAAAAACAGAGGAGGTCAAATGATTTTTCTAGGTATAGTAGTCACAGTAAATATCTACTGTCACATGTAGGGAAGCAGCAGAAATATACTGTGGCTTCTGTTATTGGAAAACTGTCTGTATCTTTTCTAGCTGTCTCCTCCAAGCATCCTTCAATGGGGAATTAACCTTGTACAATTAAATTTGCAGCAGAGTAAAAACTTTTTAAGAAAAAGAGCCATCTTTTAAAATATTAGCCTGTTGCCATTTAGTTCAAATTACGCGATTGATAATTCAAAACCACTTACATGCTCATTTTTATGCTATGTGAATTGAATGTCATAAAATTCATTTATTATGAACAAAATATTCAAAATGCATCAGAGTATTATATGCTGAGCTTTGATAAGAGAAAAAAGAATGATTTGACAAGGATATGAAAAATCATATACCAGGTATATGAGGTTAAATGTATTTTCAAATGCTTCTTGATTACAATAGTTAAATATTCCTTGAGAGATTTTACTATATGAATTTATTTCAGATTTCAAGTAGTCATTTGGAAATTGTTATTTTGGGAATTTTTTAGATCAACTTTTTCTAATCACAACTAGAAAATTAATACTATCACTTTGGCATAATTTGATTGGGACTGCTGGTTATTTAAAACAATTGATGTGTATAAGAAACTTTTAAAATTATTTTAGGAAATGTAAAAAAGTATTTGATTTAGTTTCTGCCTCCAGGTACTAATACAGTAAGGGGATGAATCATGTACACATATAATTATTGCACAAGGTATAATATAATAAGGGCCATAAGAGAAATGCAAAGCAAATGAAGTCCAAGAAGAGAGAGATTACCAGAAGCTTGGCAATCAAAACTCTGTTTTCATATTTCAGATAGACAATGGAAATATTAAGTGGAAAAGTAGGGTATGGAATATATAATATAGTGAACTCCAATAATGAATATTTTAGAAACACACAGATACAAATAGAAAATATTGGAAGGAAATGACTAAAGGTATAATGAGTGGTCATCTCCTTCTTTCTCTTCTGCTTCTTTTGAATTTCTCAAATTTTCTACAATAATTGCATTTTTCTCTTAAAATAAAAACTTATTAAAATATATGGTCTCATATTAATCTAAAATCTAGAGCTATGAGACAAGAGAAGAAAATGAGGAAATTTCTAAGAATATGTTCAAGTGTAAATTTTAAAACCTGTTTATAGGAAAGAAGACAAACACCATAGTAGGTCTATAAGGATGGTTGGACTGCTTTAATACTCTATAGAATCCCTCCTGTAGTTTATAGAGAGTCTCTGTAAAGAAAGTTATCTATTTGCTATTTTAAAGTAAACATTATTTAGAGAATATATACCACATTATGCTTGATAAGTTTGGTTATGTTATAACTTGGTAGAGGAAGGTATCGTTTAGGGGAGGGAATAAAAGCAACTAACAATTGAGTCGAACTTTTGATAAGTTTTAGGAGTCGTTGACTAAAGGTTGGTGTGAATGAATCATGTCACCTTCATTTGAGTTCTCTCTTCAACCTTTTTAGTAGAAGAAAAAAATGTGAAGGAGAGGAAATATGCTTGTAGATATAAGTTATATTAAGTATTAATACTCATGCACTTACATGCTTTTAATATAAGTTCAATGAGAAAAAAGAGCTCTAAAATATTTGTCAAACTTTTTTTAAATGAGGATCTTTGCTTATTGTTGCAGATTAATAATATGGCTTTTTTGAAGGATATTTGCCAAAATGTCTAAAATGCTTTTAGATTGGATTATCTTAGAGCATGTAAACAAATACAGTGATACAGTAATAGGGCTATGAGAAAAATCATTCATGAATGAACCTATTCCACAATTATGATCTCTAGCTTGCACATGATAACATTTTCATGTCATGTCTTAATTTAAGAAGATTCTCATTGTTTATGCAAAAGCAGCTAGTAGAGTTCTTTTAATGAGATGGAATCTATTAAAGTCTCGAATTGAATACTAAAGATGCCAAGTTTAAGAAAATGTTCACATTATTGCTTACTGTTCTTTGTGAATTTTCTCACTCATACGTTGTATCTCAGGTTGGGATCCCTAGAAGCAGACGTTGAGACAGGATTTCAGTTGCCCATATTTATTGACGGTATTTTCTCAAGATAAAGGGAGTGAGGGAAGTGAGAAAGTTCAGGGGAATTCACTAAAGCAAGAAGGTGGTTTTCACTGCAGTCTAGATTCAGCCATATCTCATGGGGATAAGAAGGAGCATGACTTTTACCATATAATTGTCCCCACCTTGAGGCAAAGGGGCTGGCATTTTGTACCTCCATGTATTCTTTATCGATGTTGGAAAAGCAGGTTAGCAATCTGTTAGGGGAAAGAACTTCTGGTAGGCAAAGGGAAATTCTCCAAAGAAGGGGGCAACTATGAACTATCAGCAGCCAACACTCACAGCAGCTGGATCAAATAAAGAGAGTGTGGCCAGAACACTTAAACTGTTCAGTAGATATTATTGGTTAATCAAGACCATAGACATATTTAATTTAATTTCACAATGTTCAATCATTAAACTGTCACTGAGTACCTGTTAGCTACTGAAAAGTAATAGTGAACTATTATTAATATATTTAAAAAAAATACATGCCCTCCTCCTTTATCCAGGAAGAGGTCAAAATCTCTGGGGGCAAGAGTCAAGTATACCAATACAGTCATACCTTAGAGATACTGAGAATTTGGTTCCAGATGCCACAGCAAAGCAAATATCTTAATAAAGTGAGTTACACACAATGTTTGGTTTCCCAGTACATGTAAAAATTATGTTTATAGTATGCTGCAGCCTATTAAGTCTGTTATAAAATTATGTCTAAGAAACCATGTACATATCTTAATTAAAAATACTTTATTGCTAAAGAGTTCTAATGGTCACCTGAGCCTAAACAGAGTCATAATCTTTTTACTGATGGAGAGTCTTGCCTTGATGTTGATGGCTGCTGATAAGGGTGATGGCTACTGAAGGTTGCGATGGCTGTGACAATTTCTTAAAATAGGATAATGAAGTGTGCCACATTAATTGACTCTTCCATTCATAAAAGATTTCTCTGTAGCACGTGATGCTGTTTGGTAGCATTTTACCCAGAGTAGAACTTTGAAAATTAGAGTCCATCCTCTCAAACTCTGCTGCTGCTTTATCAACTAAGTTTATGTCATATTCCAAAACTTTTCTTGTCCTTTCAACAGTGTTCACAGCATCTTCAGCAGAAGTAGATTTCCTCCCAAGGAAACACTTTTTCTGCTCATCTGTAAGAAGCAACTCCTCATCTATTCAAGTTTTATCATGATATTACAGAAATTCAGTCACATCTAATTCTGGTTCTTTTGTTATATTTCCATCACATCTGCTGTTACTTCCTCTCCTGAAGTCTTTGAAGTCTTGAACCTTTCAAAGTCATTTATGAGGGTTGGAATCCAAACTCCTGTTAATGTTGATATTTTGACTTCCTCCCATGAATTAAGAATGTTCTTAGTGGCATCTAAAATGCTGAATCCTTTCCAGAAGGTTTTTAATTTATTTTGCCTAGATTCATCAGAGGAATCACTATCTATGAGAGCTATGGCCTTAGGAAATGTATTTTTAAAATAATAACTCTTGAAAATCAAAATTCCTTCTTGATCCATGGGCTGCAGAAGATATGTTGTATTAGAAGACATAAAAACAACATTAATCTGCTTGTCCATCTCCATCAGAGAGTCTTAGATAACTAGATGCATTGTTCAACACGTAGTAATATTTTGAAAGGAATCTTATTTTCTAAGGAGTAGGTCTCAACAGTGGGCTTAAAGAATATTCAGTGAGCCATGTCATTAAACAGATATGTTGTTATCCATGCTTTGTTGTTTCATTAATTGAGCATGGGCAGAGTAGATTTAGCATAATTCTTAAGGACCCTAGAACTTTAAGAAGGGTAAATGAGCATTGGCTTCAACTTAAAATCCTCAGCTGTGTTAGCCTCCAAGAGAGTCAGCCTGTCCTTGGAAGCTTTGAAGCCAGCCCTTGACTTCTCCTCCAGAAAATCTGTTATTTAGCATAGCCACCTTTATCAATTATCTTAGCTAGATCTTCTGGATAACTTGCTGCAGCATCTTCATCAACACTTACTGCTTCACCTTTCACTTTTATGTTATGGCTTCTTTCCTTAAACATCATGAATCAACCTTTGCTAGCTTCCAGTTTTTCTTCTGCAGTTTCCTCACTTCTTTTAGCCTTCATAGAATTGAAGAGATTAAGGGCCTTGTTGTGGATTAGGCCTTGGTTTAAGGGAATGTTATGGCTGGTTTGATCTTCTATTGAGATCACAACTTTTTCTGCACCAGCAATAAGGCTGTTTCACTTTCTTATTATTTATGCATTCACTAGAGTAGTACTTTTAATTTCCTTCAGGAATGTTTTCTTTGCTTTCACAACTTGGCTATTTTGTGCAAGAGACCTAGCTTTTGGCTTGTCTCAGTTTTAGACATGACTTCCTCACTGAGCTAAATCATTTGTAGCATTTAATTTAGGGTGAGAGAAATTGTAACTCTTCCTTTCACTTGAACACTTAGACGCCATTGTAGCATGATTAATTGGCATAATTTAAATATTGTTGTGTTTCAGGAAATAGGGAGATCCAACGAGATGGTCAGAGACTAGAGAATGACCAATCAGTGGAGGAATCAGACACACACAATATTTATCAATTAAGTTTGCCATTTTATGTGGCTGTGGTGTGTGGTACACCAAAAAAATTACAGTAGTAAAGTAACATCAAAGATCACTGACCACGTATCATCGTAACAGATATAATAATAATTTTAAAACTTTGAAATATTATGAGAATTACCAAAATGTGACACAGAAACACAAAAGTGAGCATAAGTTATTGGAAAAATGGCCCCAATAGATTTGCTGGAAACAGGGTTGCCACAAACCTTCAATTTGTAAAAAGCACAATAAAGTGATGCAAATAAAATGAGGTACAATTGTATTTATGTACAATGAGTTATGTACTAAAACAATATTCAATATTCAACTATTATGGAACAGAGAAAGGCTCAACTATTAGTGCCATTATTTATATATATCTTAAGGTATGCTATTTGAGCTTGAAAATTATGTTTAAACTTAAACTTTTAAGTGTCCCTTCTCTGGGAAATTCACCTGTATAGAATATCTTACTTCTATGGAATGCTGTATAAACTTTGTGTACTCACATACCTGTGCATATAAAGCACATCCCATTTGTTGGGCGGCCACTTATCCCCAAACTTAAAATAAGTAAAACATAATGTGGATCAATAGTATTTGAAAACAATAAAATAACTCCTGCCAGTCACAATGAAGGGCAGAAAATACTGTGCCAGTTGAGGCACATGGATCCTTCTGCTAGGTAAATATAATTAAAAACAAAATACTCTCCCAACCTAGAAATCCTCTCCACAAAGGTAGCAGGTAAAGAACACATCTGTATTATTGAGTAAGAGTTAAACCAGAATGTGGTGAACATCATAGGCAAATCTCTTCACTAAAAGATTGCAAAAACAGCAACTTTGCTCTTTTATGTAGTCAAGCAGATACAACCCATTATACATACGTTTTTAAGATACATAACATCTAGTCCTCAAATAAAAAGGACTTAGTACCACTTGTCAGGCATAGTTCATTATAAATTTAGCCAGTAATTGGGGTGACCATCTATGTTAACTAATTGGTGTTATCCAGAGGAGAAACAAACTTCTTATATCCTTATGACAGAAGGCAGTTTTTGAGTTAGGTCCTACCTTCCCACAGAAGCTGGGAGATATGGATGCTAACTCTCTTGATGTTGACATTTCAAGGAGATGATGTGCAAGCCCTTAAGACATTCCTAGGTCATAAGACTGACAAAAGGCCTATTTAGCTTTGTAAAGGATTTATATATGTTTTAAAGGAGGAGAAAGTACTTAGTATTACAAGCTTTCTAAGAAAATGGAGAGGAGGGAAATCTGTTTTTTTCAATAGAGAGAATTATGCTTCATATTTTAAATTTTTCTTTGTCCTTGCACTACTTATGATGGGATTCTTTAGGCCCCAGAGGAATCATTTACTCTTATTTCTGACCCAGTTATATAGTTTGAAATCCCACAGCAGATTGTACCTTATCTGAGAGCAGGCATCTTATTGGAGACAGAGATGCTGACTCTAGCATGATGAAGGGACAGTTGTCAAGTCTGACACTGAGAGAAGCGACAATACTTACAAAAAGCAGATGGAGAAGTGTAAAAGAGGGGAGGAGAGAGAGTAGGATGAAATGGACAGTCATTCGGCTTTTCTAATGGGAAGAAACAATCCTGCCACTTAGGTGACTCCTGACGGCATTGTTTTATTACCAAACAAAAATTAAAATTGACCTTTAAAAATATATATACATATATATTTATGTTCACTAAAAAATTATTTAATACATTCAATCCACAGATAGTCTCTAGGTTGTTTGAGGTCACATTCCTGTTATGTTTAAGGATCTTCACTGATGCCCTTTGACAATGTCTCTTTCAGGCTTCTCTCCTTTTTTTATAGCATGTAAGAAAATGTGCACATTTTCTGCACATGAGTGGTACTGGTTTTTATAAGTATTACAGGAGGGGAACACATTGTTGAGTTCATTGGTGATTTCACCCCCAAGAAACAAAGACCCTCCTGACCCAGGAGGAAAGTAGAGCAGTTGCATTTTATAATGAAAATATTATTGTGTCACATTATTATGACTATTTTTCAGTGGGTGATTCAGTAAATGCAGCATATGCTTAGTAAATATGGATGCACAGTGTCTGAAACCAGACTGCCAGGGTTCAAATCACAGCATGGCCATTTACTATCATCATTGTGACCTTGAACAAGTTACCTCATCCTTTCTCATTTCATTTTCGTCATTGATGAATAGTGATTATTAATAGTGCTTTACCTCATAAGACTGTGACGAGGATAAAAGGAGTTTTCAGAGAGACAGAAAAAGTGAAAGAGAAGATCTGTCAAAATAGTCAATAAATATCAACTATTATTTATAAACAATTACTTACAGTTGCAAGGCTTATTTCAATCTAGAAATAATATGTGCTTTAAGAGAAAATGCATGTTTTTTTAATCACATGTAGAGAGTGTGCTTTGTAAGGATGCAAGAAAAAAATATTCTATATTACTATATGTCTAGTAAATGTGTATTGTACAGCTAGTTATAGCTGAGTTTATTTTGTGGATTCACAAAATATTAGTTTGAAATCAAATTGGTATTTTTTGTATTTTAAGTATGTTGAACTCAATTTTATGATTTCTAATGTTAGTGTATATCTTATGGGTAGACCAATTTTTTTTTGCCTGTACTGACATATTTTGATGTTGATGTATTTGAAAACTTTGTTAACACACATGATCTAAAATTTATATAGTATGTGTGTTTTTATCTTTTTTTTTTTTTTTTTTTTTTTTGGCTTGGGTTGGTGGTTTTTTTTTTTTTTTTTTTATGTGTTTTTTTTTTTTTTTTTTTTTTTTTTTTTTTATTATACTCTAAGTTTTAGGGTACATGTGCACATTGTGCAGGTTAGTTACATATGTATACATGTGCCATGCTTGTGCGCTGCACCCACTAATGTGTCATCTAGCATTAGGTATATCTCCCAATGCTATCCCTCCCCCCTCCCCCGACCCCACCACAGTCCCCAGAGTGTGATATTCCCCTTCCTGTGTCCATGTGATCTCATTGTTCAATTCCCACCTATGAGTGAGAATATGCGGTGTTTGGTTTTTTGTTCTTGCGATAGTTTACTGAGAATGATGGTTTCCAATTTCATCCATGTCCCTACAAAGGATATGAACTCATCAATTTTTATGGCTGCATAGTATTCCATGGTGTATATGTGCCACATTTTCTTAATCCAGTCTATCATTGTTGGACATTTGGGTTGGTTCCAAGTCTTTGCTATTGTGAATAGTGCCGCAATAAACATACGTGTGCATGTGTCTTTATAGCAGCATGATTTATACTCATTTGGGTATATACCCAGTAATGGGATGGCTGGGTCAAATGGTATTTCTAGTTCTAGATCCCTGAGGAATCGCCACACTGACTTCCACAATGGTTGAACTAGTTTACAGTCCCACCAACAGTGTAAAAGTGTTCCTATTTCTCCGCATCCTCTCCAGCACCTGTTGTTTCCTGACTTCTTAATGATTGCCATTCTAACCGGTGTGAGATGATATCTCATAGTGGTTTTGATTTGCATTTCTCTGATGGCCAGTGATGATGAGCATTTCTTCATGTGTTTTTTGGCTGCATAAATGTCTTCTTTTGAGAAGTGTCTGTTCATGTCCTTCGCCCACTTTTTGATGGGGTTGTTTGTTTTTTTCTTGTAAATTTGTTTGAGTTCATTGTAGATTCTGGATATTAGCCCTTTGTCAGATGAGTAGGTTGCAAAAATTTTCTCCCATGTTGTAGGTTGCCTGTTCACTCTGATGGTAGTTTCTTTTGCTGTGCAGAAGCTCTTTAGTTTAATTAGATCCCATTTGTCAATTTTGTCTTTTGTTGCCATTGCTTTTGGTGTTTTGGACATGAAGTGCTTGCCCACGCCTATGTCCTGAATGGTAATGCCTAGGTTTTCTTCTAGGGTTTTTATGGTTTTAGGTTTAACATTTAAATCTTTAATCCATCTTGAATTGATTTTTGTATAAGGTGTAAGGAAGGGATCCAGTTTCAGCTTTCTACATATGGCTAGCCAGTTTTCCCAGCACCATTTATTAAATAGGGAATCCTTTCCCCATTGCTTGTTTTTCTCAGGTTTGTCAAAGATCAGATAGTTGTAGATATGCGGCATTATTTCTGAGGGCTCTGTTCTGTTCCATTGATCTATATCTCTGTTTTTGTACCAGTACCATGCTGTTTTGGTTACTGTAGCCTTGTAGTATAGTTTGAAGTCAGGTAGTGTGATGCCTCCAGCTTTGTTCTTTTGGCTTAGGATTGACTTGGCGATGCGGGCTCTTTTTTGGTTCCATATGAACTTTAAAGTAGTTTTTTCCAATTCTGTGAAGAAAGTCATTGGTAGCTTGATGGGGATGGCATTGAATCTGTAAATTACCTTGGGCAGTATGGCCATTTTCACGATATTGATTCTTCCTACCCATGAGCATGGAATGTTCTTCCATTTATTTGTCTCCTCTTTTATTTCCTTGAGCAGTGGTTTGTAGTTCTCCTTGAAGAGGTCCTTCACATCCCTTGTAAGTTGGATTCCTAGGTATTTTATTCTCTTTGAAGCAATTGTGAATGGGAGTTCACCCATGATTTGGCTCTCTGTTTGTCTGTTGTTGGTGTATAAGAATGCTTGTGATTTTTGTACATTGATTTTGTATCCTGAGACTTTGCTGAAGTTGCTTATCAGCTTAAGGAGATTTTGGGCTGAGACGATGGGGTTTTCTAGATAAACAATCATGTCGTCTGCAAACAGGGACAATTTGACTTCCTCTTTTCCTAATTGAATACCCTTTATTTCCTTCTCCTGCCTGATTGCCCTGGCCAGAACTTCCAACACTATGTTGAATAGGAGCGGTGAGAGAGGGCATCCCTGTCTTGTGCCAGTTTTCAAAGGGAATGCTTCCAGTTTTTGCCCATTCAGTATGATATTGGCTGTGGGTTTGTCATAGATAGCTCTTATTATTTTGAAATACATCCCATCAATACCTAATTTATTGAGAGTTTTTAGCATGAAGGGTTGTTGAATTTTGTCAAAGGCTTTTTCTGCATCTATTGAGATAATCATGTGGTTTTTGTCTTTGGCTCTGTTTATATGCTGGATTACATTTATTGATTTGCGTATATTGAACCAGCCTTGCATCCCAGGGATGAAGCCCACTTGATCATGGTGGATAAGCTTTTTGATGTGCTGCTGGATTCGGTTTGCCAGTATTTTATTGAGGATTTTTGCATCAATGTTCATCAAGGATATTGGTCTAAAATTCTCTTTTTTGGTTGTGTCTCTGCCCGGCTTTGGTATCAGAATGATGCTGGCCTCATAAAATGAGTTAGGGAGGATTCCCTCTTTTTCTATTGATTGGAATAGTTTCAGAAGGAATGGTACCAGTTCCTCCTTGTACCTCTGGTAGAATTCGGCTGTGAATCCATCTGGTCCTGGACTCTTTTTGGTTGGTAAACTATTGATTATTGCCACAATTTCAGAGCCTGTTATTGGTCGATTCAGAGATTCAACTTCTTCCTGGTTTAGTCTTGGGAGAGTGTATGTGTCGAGGAATGTATCCATTTCTTCTAGATTTTCTAGTTTATTTGCGTAGAGGTGTTTGTAGTATTCTCTGATGGTAGTTTGTATTTCTGTGGGATCGGTGGTGATATCCCCTTTATCATTTTTTATTGTGTCTATTTGATTCTTCTCTCTTTTTTTCTTTATTAGTCTTGCTAGCGGTCTATCAATTTTGTTGATCCTTTCAAAAAACCAGCTCCTGGATTCATTGATTTTTTGAAGGGTTTTTTGTGTCTCTATTTCCTTCAGTTCTGCTCTGATTTTAGTTATTTCTTGCCTTCTGCTAGCTTTTGAATGTGTTTGCTCTTGCTTTTCTAGTTCTTTTAATTGTGATGTTAGGGTGTCAATTTTGGATCTTTCCTGCTTTCTCTTGTAGGCATTTAGTGCTATAAATTTCCCTCTACACACTGCTTTGAATGCGTCCCAGAGATTCTGGTATGTGGTGTCTTTGTTCTCGTTGGTTTCAAAGAACATCTTTATTTCTGCCTTCATTTCGTTATGTACCCAGTAGTCATTCAGGAGCAGGTTGTTCAGTTTCCATGTAGTTGAGCGGCTTTGAGTGAGATTCTTAATCCTGAGTTCTAGTTTGATTGCACTGTGGTCTGAGAGATAGTTTGTTATAATTTCTGTTCTTTTACATTTGCTGAGGAGAGCTTTACTTCCAACTATGTGGTCAATTTTGGAATAGGTGTGGTGTGGTGCTGAAAAAAATGTATATTCTGTTGATTTGGGGTGGAGAGTTCTGTAGATGTCTATTAGGTCTGCTTGGTGCAGAGCTGAGTTCAATTCCTGGGTATCCTTGTTGACTTTCTGTCTCGTTGATCTGTCTAATGTTGACAGTGGGGTGTTAAAGTCTCCCATTATTAATGTGTGGGAGTCTAAGTCTCTTTGTAGGTGACTGAGGACTTGCTTTATGAATCTGGGTGCTCCTGTATTGGGTGCATAAATATTTAGGATAGTTAGCTCCTCTTGTTGAATTGATCCCTTTACCATTATGTAATGGCCTTCTTTGTCTCTTTTGATCTTTGTTGGTTTAAAGTCTGTTTTGTCAGAGACTAGGATTGCAACCCCTGCCTTTTTTTGTTTTCCATTGGCTTGGTAGATCTTCCTCCATCCTTTTATTTTGAGCCTATGTGTGTCTCTGCACGTGAGATGGGTTTCCTGAATACAGCACACTGATGGGTCTTGACTCTTTATCCAACTTGCCAGTCTGTGTCTTTTAATTGCAGAATTTAGTCCATTTATATTTAAAGTTAATATTGTTATGTGTGAATTTGATCCTGTCATTATGATGTTAGCTGGTGATTTTGCTCATTAGTTGATGCAGTTTCTTCCTAGTCTCGATGGTCTTTACATTTTGGCATGATTTTGCAGCGGCTGGTACCGGTTGTTCCTTTCCATGTTTAGCGCTTCCTTCAGGAGCTCTTTTAGGGCAGGCCTGGTGGTGACAAAATCTCTCAACATTTGCTTGTCTATAAAGTATTTTATTTCTCCTTCACTTATGAAGCTTAGTTTGGCTGGATATGAAATTCTGGGTTGAAAATTCTTTTCTTTAAGAATGTTGAATATTGGCCCCCACTCTCTTCTGGCTTGTAGGGTTTCTGCCGAGAGATCCGCTGTTAGTCTGATGGGCTTTCCTTTGAGGGTAACCCGACCTTTCTCTCTGGCTGCCCTTAACATTTTTTCCTTCATTTCAACTTTGGTGAATCTGACAATTATGTGTCTTGGAGTTGCTCTTCTCGAGGAGTATCTTTGTGGCGTTCTCTGTATTTCCTGAATCTGAACGTTGGCCTGCCTTGCTAGATTGGGGAAGTTCTCCTGGATAATATCCTGCAGAGTGTTTTCCAACTTGGTTCCATTCTCCACATCACTTTCAGGTACACCAATCAGACGTAGATTTGGTCTTTTCACATAGTCCCATATTTCTTGGAGGCTTTGCTCATTTCTTTTTATTCTTTTTTCTCTAAACTTCCCTTCTCGCTTCATTTCATTCATTTCATCTTCCATTGCTGATACCCTTTCTTCCAGTTGATCGCATCGGCTCCTGAGGCTTCTGCATTCTTCACGTAGTTCTCGAGCCTTGGTTTTCAGCTCCATCAGCTCCTTTAAGCACTTCTCTGTATTGGTTATTCTAGTTATACATTCTTCTAAATTTTTTTCAAAGTTTTCAACTTCTTTGCCTTTGGTTTGAATTTCCTCCCGTAGCTCAGAGTAATTTGATCGTCTGAAGCCTTCTTCTCTCAGCTCGTCAAAATCATTCTCCATCCAGCTTTGTTCTGTTGCTGGTGAGGAACTGCGTTCCTTTGGAGGAGGAGAGGCGCTCTGCGTTTTAGAGTTTCCAGTTTTTCTGTTCTGTTTTTTCCCCATCTTTGTGGTTTTATCTACTTTTGGTCTTTGATGATGGTGATGTACAGATGGGTTTTCGGTGTAGATGTCCTTTCTGGTTGTTAGTTTTCCTTCTAACAGACAGGACCCTCAGCTGCAGGTCTGTTGGAATACCCTGCCGTGTGAGGTGTCAGTGTGCCCCTGCTGGGGGGTGCCTCCCAGTTAGGCTGCTCGGGGGTCAGGAGTCAGGGACCCACTTGAGGAGGCAGTCTGCCCGTTCTCAGATCTCCAGCTGCGTGCTGGGAGAACCACTGCTCTCTTCAAAGCTGTCAGACAGGGACACTTAAGTCTGCAGAGGTTACTGCTGTCTTTTTGTTTGTCTGTGCCCTGCCCCCAGAGGTGGAGCCTACAGAGGCAGGCAGGCCTCCTTGAGCTGTGGTGGGCTCCACCCAGTTCGAGCTTCCCGGCTGCTTTGTTTACCTAAGCAAGCCTGGGCAATGGCGGGCGCCCCTCCCCCAGCCTCGTTGCCGCCTTGCAGTTTGATCTCAGACTGCTGTGCTAGCAATCAGCGAGATTCCGTGGGCGTAGGACCCTCCGAGCCAGGTGTGGGATATAGTCTCGTGGTGCGCCGTTTCTTAAGCCGGTCTGAAAAGCGCAATATTCGGGTGGGAGTGACCCGATTTTCCAGGTGCGTCCGTCACCCCTTTCTTTGACTCGAAAAGGGAACTCCCTGACCCCTTGCGCTTCCCAGGTGAGGCAATGCCTCGCCCTGCTTCGGCTCGCGCACGGTGCGCACACACACTGGCCTGCGCCCACTGTCTGGCACTCCCTAGTGAGATGAACCCGGTACCTCAGATGGAAATGCAGAAATCACCGTCTTCTGCGTCGCTCACGCTGGGAGCTGTAGACCGGAGCTGTTCCTATTCGGCCATCTTGGCTCCTCCCTCGTGTTTTTATCTTATACCATGTGGTAACACATGTTTATTTGTGGACTGATTTAAGAATTGATAATTATACAGTCTTCACAGAACTCAGAAAAATGGTAAATTTTTACATTCATATTGGGTGTTTACCACCTTGGGAAATATAACAAAAGGAAGAAATATCTAATGTTTTTGATTTTCTAGTATTGCCGTAAGAAAACAAAAATAATTCTCTACTTGTCCACTATTTCTGGTCCCAGACTGAAAGAAAAAAAAATAACTTTTTTTTTTATGTTTCTATATTTTGCTAAACTACAAGTGCTTGCTGTTGAGCAAGTGTGAAGCAAGCTTTCTCCTACCACTTTTGATGTCCTAAATTATGTCTTTACTCTGATTTGGCAAACATGGTGTAGGTAAATCATCTTGGAGAGTTCTTCCTAGAATGAGTTTACAAACAAATCCACTTTATACTTATAAATTATAATAATTCCGCTTATATTGATTCATCATGAATTGTGCTCATACCCTATTAAAAAAAAAGAAAAAAAAAGACACTCATTAGACTTAAAATTTATTAGTGGCTTAATTAGATCCTTTTCAGATCATTTTTAAAATTTTGTGTAAAATGATAAGAAGGCACTTTTTACCAGATATAGTATATCATGGCCTGGTGAATGCTTTCCTTTTCCCCATGTCTTAATATTTTATAGATTTATTTCTCCAAAGGACCTGTATTAGTTAAGTTCAGGTGGATTATGTCAATAACATATTAACACAAAATCTCAGTGGTTTCATATAACAAAAGTTTACTTACCTTTTATTTTTTTTTCTAAAATATCAATTATGGAGCCAGGGCTCTGTTCCGTAAAGTCATTCAGGGTCTCATAACTCCACTAACCAAGGATAATGGGAAAACAATCTTTCCTGTGCCTTGACAGAAAAAAGAAGTGCTTCTTGTTGTGCACTAATAATATCTACCAAGATCCATGTGGCTCTTTTGTCCTTGAACATATATAATAGTTTGTGTAAATTCTCAGAATTTGGTGAATACATGGGTGTTACTGTATAAACTCAGATTTATTAATCACTAAATAGCTCTAAATTTGTAAATAAATTTAATTCTTAAATTTTAAAAGAATTTTAATTAATGTTTTTACATTGACAGAAAAAGATAATCTTTCTCAGGTTATTTTTGGACATGAAATGGCAATAAATGACTGCATTGCCTACTGGCAATGGGTGAAAAACATGATTGAAAGCCTAAAGAACAAGTGCCATTTTTATCCTGTGAACAGCCATGCAACCAAACTGCAGCAAGCAACATACTGATATTTCTGAAGAGTCTCCTGGAAATTTGCCAGGAAGAAAAGATGAGAGATTAAGAAGCAGAGTACGAAGATGAAATAATTATTTATTCTATTTATTAAATGTAAAAACTTTCCCTTTAAGTTGCAATAAGAAATAAAATAAGCTACTTGAGAAAGAAGAATCTTACTGTATTGACTTTAGACATAGAGAGAATCTTAAAGTGCTTCTATGAAAAAATACACTCATATCTAAGATATGTAGAAAGAAATTATGCCCCTTTCTCTTCTAGTCATTGTAAATATCCTGTCTTAAAGAGCTCAAGCTATTTTGCTACTAACAGCAATCATATTACTCTTAAGTTAATCCATCTTATATACCCTCTATAAATCATAATCTAGTTAAATACATAGCAAAAATGGTGAATTGGCTCTCCTTAACCTGAGTCATTTTAAGTTGTACTTTTAAAAAATCTTACCAATTGCTAAAAAGCTTAATTATGAAAAGAACTTGCAAAAGAAATTAATGACTTTGTAAAACGAAAATGGCTTTAAAATAGACAAGCTCTAATTAAATTGATTTGGACCCAACATCTTTTTATTCAACAAACATATGTATTTAAAACAATTTTCTGCTGTAATGATTAATTATAATTTTATTTTTAAACTGACAAAAAGAAAATAGCATACCTATTTAAATCAAGAAAAGGTAGTTTTTCTTTAAAATGGAGATTTTTAGTTTTGCTAAATTTAAAAAAAAAGATAATGTCTCAAGTAGTAAACTAATGAGGGATTGTATGTCTGACAATAGTCTAAAATTGTCTTTTGAGCCATGTTTCCTTGACTGAAAGAGGAATGGAACAAAATAATTATCTTTTTTTTCAATCTTCTCCTCTAACATATTTCTAAGCCTTCAGAGGTTAATAGCAATTATACAAAAGATGCCTTCCCATGGCTTCAAGCCTGTCATGTTTTGTTTTGTTTGTACTCTAGAGAATGCTCTGAGGTTGATTGAGTTGTGTTTTGAATTAACGGCCTCACATCACCTTTCAAAATTTGAAACATTCTTATGACATTGTCAAAATTAGAAAAGTTGTTATCATAGTTACAGTTTTATGCAATAACAGATTGTGTCTATTTTGTTTCACTTTATTTTGGGATATACTAATTTGCTTCAAAAAATTGTATCTAGGAAATAATGAGCAATAGAATCAGAGAGAATTAGGTTTGAAATATAAGTTTTATTTAACTTCTTTGAGATGTAATTATCTTATTTCTAAAATGAGATTATAAATATCCATATCTTCTGAGGATCAAATGGCATAACTAGTATAGTGTCTGCCATATTATATCCAATTAAAAAATAACATGCTATTCATTATTTTTGTCCTTACTGTTTAAGCCTTGTGTTTAAGTTTATGAGTACTTAGAAGGAATTTTTAAATGCCTATGATTTATTTACACTTTATGCTTTAAATTATGCTTGTGAATTATTTATAGAATTTTTCTACAAATACTGAGCCAGGAAGCATATAACATTTTAATGGAAACATAGAAAGCAATAAAAAGGTTAGAGTTATTCATTAATATAATTAGTTGTATAAGAGTAATAAGCATATGGTTGTTGATATGGTTTGGCTGTGTCCCCACCTAAATCTCACCTTGAATTCCCACCTGTTGTGGGAAGGACCTGGTGGGGGATAATTGAATCATGGGGGCAGATATTTCCCACACTGTTCTCGTGATAGTGAGTAAGTTTCACAAGATCGATGGTTATTATAAGCGGTGGGGCGGGGGTGGACTCTTGCACAAGCTGTCTCTTTGCCAGGTGCCATCCATGTTAGGCGTGACTTGCTCCTCCTTGCCTTCCGCCATGATTGTGAGGCCTTTCCAGCCACATGGAACTGTAAGTCCATTAATCCCTTTTTCCTGTATAAATTACCCAGTCTCGGGTATGTCTTTATCAGCAGTGTGAAAATGGACTAAATATTTGAAATTTGGACACAATTCCACTCACTAATAATCTACTATATAGCATAGGATGTTTTGATCTGCAAGTCACAGAAAACCTCAACTTCTAGGGTAGTCCTGAGTTAGAATGAGCTTCAGGCATATAACAATCTGTGGCTAGTCATATCATCTAGAACTCAGGCTCTTTCCAATATTCTGCCTTCTGTTTGCTGGTGATCACATCAACTTCAGGCTAGAACAAGATGGCAGCAGTGTTTCCAAGCAACACTTCCAGACTCAGCCATATCAAAGAAAAAGAGGAACTGCCACTCTGTTTTCTTCTTGGAATCAAGGAAATTTTCCTGTGACCCTGGTAGATTTTTCAGAATTATCCAATTCCTACAAAATATACTAGAAAGCAAAAATTATTACTAATTTAAGGATGTAATGGATATTATTAGAGTGCCAATCAAAGACACCATATAGGTCACACTTTTAGGTACCCAGCATATAAACACACATTCTTTCCACCCATAGGCATTTAAAAAATGTCCATGCTCACTAAATACACATTCTCCAGAATGGGAAAACACAGACATATGTAAGACCCTCAGCTCAAGTTTAGGGTCTCTGTGTTCGGTGAAGTCCTTTCCATCAATTTAGACAGTAACTGTTTATTGTCTGGTGAAGAAGTGTTTCACTCTCTGCCCAACTTTTGGTAATTGGAAAACAGGAAAGACAACTTACATGAACACTCTTACTCAAAACATTGGAAAATCAAACCGCGATACTGATTTATAGCACATTTTCTATTTTGCTGGAAACGTGAATACTTTTGGTTTGATAGTCAACTAAATCCCTTATTCTGCAAATCTGACAGTTGTATTTGATGAAAGCTGAGATGGTAACAACTTTCTTGCCCATATCGAAATTCAGGGAATGGGGATGTGGAAAAATGCCTCACTTTGAGATTGCACATTTTTAACAGGCCCCTTCCTATTGAGTGGGTTTGGTGAGCTGGTTTAATTATTTAATTGGTTTAATTATGGGATCTTACTCTTGGTGAGGCTTACAGTTACCTTGATATTGTAGTTCCCTTAAGAATTTATTTGGCTTCTAGCTCACTGGAGTTCAGCTCCACGGACTGGTAACCTAGGCAGAGAGCTTATCCAGCAAGTTATTTATTCTGGGAAGTCTAGTTTTAGCCACAGGCCTCAGAGCTTCATCCACCCCTCTCTCTCGACCCTGTCATCATTATCATTTAATGACCTCTGCCATGAACGGAATCAAAAGAATAGCCTGAAGTCAGAAGACACATATATTATGTGTTCCTTCTAACTGCATTTTTAAAACAAGATTGTCTCCTTTACTAGATGAATAATGCCTAACTGGAGGTGTTTGCTAGAAATCTGGGGTTGTAGGATTTCTTTTTACTTTAATCAAATATTCTGCCCAGTATCCATTATCCCATCTCTGCTTGCTTTATCTATGGCTTGAGTAGAAAATTTGGCTTTTCCAGTCCCCCAAATTTCCAAATTATTGAACTTTAAAGCAATTTAGATTATAGCCCAAAACCTCTTCAGGCAGAATTGTATTTTATTCTTTCTCTGCCTTCTGATAGATCAGCTTTAGCCTAAGCATAACTCTTTCTTGAAATACCTAACTGAAAGCTGCAAGAAGTAGCCAAAACACCAATGTTCTGAAAATTTTCTGTCAGTTTCCCAAATGGGCAAGCATTTAGCCAAGTGCTTCAGAACCACACACGAAAAAGGGTAATTAACCACTAAGATTTGAAGAATAGAGCAAATTGTCTTTATCCTTGCTTTATCTCCTCTCCTCTGCCAATTTAGTGTTTTAAAGTCTGTTACTTGTGGCAGCATATTTCCGGTGACATATTCGGCATCAGGATGCTTCTGTCAACAAGTAACAGAAGACATTAACTAAACCACCTTACAAAACAATGGAAATTATACCATTTAACTAATGTAGTGGGGGTCCCCAAGTGCCATGCATGAAGGTTCAGCCCCACTGTAATTTTCTTACCTATCGTCTTTCTCTAGGACTGGTAGCAAAATACCTTCAGCTCCTTAAGATAAGATATTTACAATGACTAGAAGAAAAAGAGAAATAATTTATTTCCAGGTATCTTAGAACAAGTATATTTTTCACAGAAGCACTTCAGAATTATTCTCTCAATGTCTAAAGTCACTTATGTAAAATTCTTTTTTTCAAGTAGCTTACTTTATTTTTTATTGCAACTCAAAGAGAAAGCTTTTTACATTTAATAGATAGAACAAATAATACTTTATCTTCTTACTCTGCATCTCATTTGCTCATCTTTTGTTTCTGGAAAATTTTCAGGAGACCCTTCAGAAATAGCATGTTGCTTGCTGAGGTTTGGTTGCATGGCTATTTACAGGAAAAAAAAATAGACACTTGTTCTTTAGGATTTCAACCATTTTTTTTTTCACCCAATGAAAATTGCTGGGTCATCTGTGACAGCCTCTTTTGGAAACCTGCAGTTGTCCTCAGCTGGGGTGAGAAGTTCATATTCTCCCAGGCCTGCCTTGAGATAAAGTAAAGCACTACACTTTAGAAGTGCTTCCTTTTCATCCTAACCAGGAGTTTGAATTAGGAATAGAAACATTCCTGGAGCCCTTCGTCTCTGCCAGAGTGGAGAGTGGCCCCCTTGGGAGCCCTCCTTCCTTCCACCCACAACCTCAGACAGCATTCAAACCATACAACAGCCACCCCAAACGAGCTAGGTAGACTGAAAGGAAGGAAGAGAAGGAAGGACTAATATAAAATGCCTTAGAACATATACTTCATAATTGATGGGTCACCAACAAGAAGTGATTACTTCACACTGCAGGGAAATACTTTTCTGGAAAACAAGAGACAAAAATAATTTTCGGATACCTGCGCGCTGACTCTGATCTAACTCTGTAGCCTGTCCTCATCCCAGTCACCTTTGTTAAGGTGTCTTTGTTGAGCCTGAGTTCTGTACAGAAACCAGAAAAGCTCGATATTCATAAACATTTCTTTAAATGCAGAAACATAGAATGTTAATGTGCATTTTTCTGAGATGGTGTTATAAGTCCAAGTATCAAAAAGCAGTAGCAAATATTAGTTTGTGTTTTCAACTCTGGAGTCTACCTAGGCCACGTGTTAAGGACATCTGTATACTTCATTAGGGAATGAGAAGCCAGGAACAATTACCTTAGAATTTTTGCATCTGCTGTCACTGTCAATACCCATTTCATACCCTTATGCATTCTGTATCCTTTGCTAAATAATTTCTGAATCTTAAAGTGTGTGTGTGCACGTGCATGTGTGTGTGCATGCATGTATGCATGGTGTTTTCCTGAAAACTCATAAAACACAAAACACTGTACACTAAATTTCTGTAAAACAATTTAATAATATATACCACCTTATGTTACAAATATTCTTTTAAATAATTTTTCTACCTAGGCTACTCTTTAAATGGTTGTCACTATATTATATACTTGTTACCATATCAAAACTCAGTACTCTAATTAATATATACTGAATTTTAAAATTGCAGTAAATTTTATCTTCTCAGTGTAGTAAAAAGACCCACTAATTTTTCAAGTAAATAATCTTGTTAATTCCTTGCTGGATGATGTTTTATGATGGTGGTTATGTGTCTCCTGTGAGCCTGTTCCCACATTCAAATTATTTTATGTATATACTGAGACAAATAAAAAATATAATAAACACACTTAACTGATACATCTGTGGAATTTTTAAATACTTTAAGTGAAATACCTACTTTGTACAAGAAAAGGTTATAATATTACCATTTGAAAAATCAATGGTGCTTTCAGATTCCGAGGCATCTCAGTATAAATACATATTATTATTTTTACTCAAATGCATATCTGAAAATATTTTCATACTGTCATGCTAGAAAAGCACTAAAATTGCTTGAGAAGATAGCTGATATACATATATCTGGGCTAAGAAAGCAAACTTGAGTACAAGTGTTTGAGTTAAAACAGTCTTATGCATACTAAATGGACTCTGGCAACATCACACATTTACCTAAGCATTTAGAGATGGCAGTTCTTCTTAATTTGTTCTTAATTCTGTTTTCAGAGTATTGTGATATTTTAATCTTTGGAATGCTGATGATTTATGAGTTCAAACTTGAAGACATTTTCTCTGTCAGTCTTTTAGTATTCAAATCAATGCAGGGAACACAGAATTAGATCTGGAGAGGGGAAGCAGGATTCATCCTCTCTGGGGATAACTAAGCAAATTATTTGGAACTCTGGATGCTCTTGGGCATTCAGTAGGTCAAAGTCTAAGTCCTCAAAGTAAACAGTGATGGGTCAAATTGCTGAGAGCTCCATGTGTGTAAAAAACAATTCTTTATAGTGCCCAACATATCTGGTTAGAATATATTAATTGGTGGTTAAAAATAGAATATTTATTTTAAAACAGCTCGTTGATATAGATAAAATTGAACTAAGATTTCTAATATTTAATGTAAATATTATTCACTTATCATTCATGCAGCACTTGCTCTATGCCAGGGACAGGCTTTGGTTCAGTGATCTCAAAAATAATTAGTAGTGTTACCCAAATTCAAGCAGTGGCGTAGATTGGATACTCCAATTAGTGGACCCTGATCTTAAGATTTAGATGTAAGTGACTTATTAAGTAAGTGCTCCCAGGAAGATGTGATAAGGGAGTGGAGAAAACAGGAAATGAACGACAAAGAACCAGGCCAATGGAGAGAATTCAGTGGAAGTTTCAGACATAGCCTGATTCTGTGGGAAGCTCTGGAGGGTAAATTACAGGTCAGAGGTTGTCCTGACCCTAGACAAAGAAGTAAGGCTTTTATACTCCTGTTAGCCAGGATGGGAGGCAGTGAGGTTTTGGATGTGTGGTTAGTGCTGTCTAGGCACGTCCAGCAACTCCTGCAGGGGAGAGGACATCAGTATGCAGGGCATTCCTCTGAAGGGTGAGTTCTAAAGGTGTAAGCCTTTCAAAGCAAACAAGAATAAACTTGGGCCAGGTATGCACAGAGCTGGCCAAATTGTGGTAGTCACTGCTGGTGCTCCACACAAGAATATGCAATGTTAATCATAGGAATATGTTTGGGGCACCAGAAGTGAGTCCTGTCAGAAATTCATGTTCTGGAAGGGGTGCTAAGCCTTAAAAATATGAGTGTGATACGTGCAATAATATATTGATATTGAAGGCACAATACTCAGAAAGGGGGTTGGATAACTCCCTGGATGGTAAGCATGGGAGGTCAAAGAACACTTGAGTAGAAAAATGAAGAGACATTTTAAATGCTAATCTGCTTGCTACCATAAACTAAGTATTAAAAGTGTATGTCTGGTTTGATTATCATTTTTTCTTTAAGGGAGAATTAATATTTCACTCACCGCTTAGAGAAAGGTTTCTCTTACTCAGTGTCTTGTGTTTGCTTTTCAAGTCCTACATTGTCCCACTGAAAGAATTAATTATTGTCCTGTAAAACCTATTAAAATTCTGTCTTAGGAAAACCTATTGTCCTGCATGTCAAATATTTCTACAGTTTTATAAGTTCCTTTTGGCTTCTGCTTCTCCTAGCCTAATTTCCTCATCTTTTCTTCCAAAGTGTATTTCTCTTACCCGGTCAATGAGACCATATTCTTTCCTCATGCATAAGTGGTACTCCCATAATCATTCCATCCTCTTCCAGCAGCAAGGAGCCACCTTATTGCCTCCTTAATTTTTTTTATGTCTCTCTTTAAGTTAGTATGTGTGATTTAATTCCCTAGAATGACCATTTGGGATTGAATTCCTGACTACCTGATAAAATTACATCACATAGACCATGAACCCAGAATACAAAGTTGTATGCTTTTATCTGGGCCTTTCTATGTTCTATTTCAAGACATCTGACTCAAACAATGAAGTGAGACATCTAATTTCATTTCTGCTGCTTACTCAATGTCACTTTTAACAATATATTAACCTCTCCAAGTCTTAATTCCCCAATTTAGAAAAGATAGGTAATAGTTCATGTGTAAGATGGTTGCTGTGAGAGTTATAAATGCTCAGTGCAGTGTCTGAGACATGATAGGTCTTTAGTAGATGACAACAACTATTAATAAGAACAATAAAAATAATAATATAGTGGCCTTACCTCAAGTTTATTAATAAGGTAGAAACACAACTCTTTTAATTTTACTATTAAATCTTTACAGAGGGTTTATACATACAAACATACATAAAACCTCTAAGTTTTACTTAAAGATATACCTGTCTCTGATAGATACATATGGATTCTAGAGTTTAAATAGTCTTGATTATTTTATTCCTAAAGCTAACACAGCTTAGACCAGTATTTCTCAAACCACCTTAAAAAAACTCATATATATGTGTGTATCCCATAATCCCATACATATGTGTATGTATAAACTCATATATATGTATATCCCATAATCACATATATACACACATGTATTATATATCACATGTATATAAACGTGTGTATATATTACATGTGTACATATCACACGTATAATACATGTGTACATATCACATGTGTGTATATCACATGTATAATGCATGTGAATATATCACATGTGTATATATCACATGTATATATGTGTATGTATATATATCACATGTATATATACACACATGCATATGTACGTGTGTATCTATGTGTATATATATACACACATATATGTTATTTTATTTTACATTCAGGAGTACATATGCAGGTTTGTTATATAGGTAAATTGCATGTCACAGGGGTTTGGCATACGGATTATTTCATCACCCAGGTAATAAACATAGTACTCGATCAGTAGTTTTCAATCCTCACCCCCATTCTACCTTCCACCCTCACATAGGTTCCCGTGTCTGTTGTTCCCTTCTTTGTGTCCATATGTACTCAATAGAAACACTTATATTAAGTGACATGTTAATGTATGTTCTGGAAGAACACACCAAAAAATAACTAAATTAAATTTTTTAAAATTTTGCAATTAAATATTCTTTTACAATTCAATGTGTGTATATATATATATATATATATATATATATATATATGATAAATACCAGACACATTTATAGAGCTCTTATGATCATAAAATCTCTTATTTATGAAGGTATTTCTCATTCACAAATCTCATTATAAAGTTAAAGATAAATTACTTGAAATATTAAGCAAGTATATTTAACTTCTTTTATTTATAGACAGTTTGTCCCGTTCAATAGCTGGTCTGTGTTATGTGACTTAATTTATAATTTTATATGGCTTTGTCATGTCATTAAATGCTTTTATTAAATATGAAAAGAAAAATGCTGCTCATTTCTAACTTCAAATAAATTTTTGGCATCTGCTTTAATCCAAGAGCCCGTTTCACCTCATGGTTTCCTGATTGTGTTCCATTGTTGCATTATAATTAGAAAAATTATACATGGGCAACTAAATTTAAACACCTTGGATTAAAAGGGAAAAATTAAGAAGAGATTGTGTTATAGGCATAATGACGGCAGTAACATTAAGGGACACTTGACCGAAAGGCAATAATTCAAGCTACAGTACTAGCATTCAATAAGATGTTGGTTAAATACAGTACCTTGTTAATTTTGACGTATGAATTCTACTTCATGAACGACCATTTTATTAACCATTTCAATTAGCTAACATAATTAGAATAATTCAATACCATGAACACATTAATCAAAATAGGTTCTTCAATAAACATGTCTAGACTTTAATACGTCAACCATAAATTACAATATTATTTTATTTTAGTCCTCTAACACCAAAGGGCCATATTAAATAAAAGAGTATCAAATTAAACTTAAAAGATGTATTTTATTTTGCTCATTTATCATTCAGATATAATAGATGGGCTTTTGGCTTTCAAAATTATCCTTCACGTTTTTCTCATTTTAAATGCATGTCCTTTTTTCTTTATAAAGATGTTTGTCTCTTTATTTGTGGAAAGAGCTAAAGAAACTATTACTATACCAGAAAGACACACACAGTTCCACAATGTCAGAGTCAGGGTTAAAACTCAGTAAAGTGTCACTTGTGCGGATGAGGTTAAGGGTAAGGATGGACTCACTAAATCTTACTCTATTCAGAGTGGCTGAGTCTTCAAATTCTCTCTTCAGGTAACTAAATTTTATTGCATGCTTGTTAAGTGGCAGTTATTGTTCTAATAGAAGGCCTTTTACGTATATGTACTTAATCTTCACTAAAATCTCATGAGATAGAAACTCTAAAACTTTAAAATTATTATTTCCATTAACAGATGTGAAATTATTATTTCCATTAACAGATGTGAAAATTGTTTATAGTAATGGTTTAAAACAATTCTTACCACAAATTCACATTTTCTTTTACTCTTCCCAGCTACAAGTTAGAGTTGGATTATCTACATTACGAAGAGAGGAAAGTGATTGTAAAACTAGACTTTATTTCATTCAGCAAAGGAAATTCATTGGCAGGGTGAGACTAGTCGAGTGAGTATTTCATTGAGGTGGTTAAGAAAAGAAAAAGGTGTGAACAAATGATAAAAGGTGGAATAAGCTTGATGACCTTGGAAAGGTGTCCTATTGATTGTTCAGGTGACAAATCAGGTCATGTATTATGTGGTAGTCACAGATTATATAATTTGGTTCTTGTCAATTCTGTAAATAATTCATTGTGTAACCTATGAAAAACTCTCCAAGCCTCAGTTTCTTATAAAATAAGATATAGATATGGCTTTAAATTTTTTTCAATTCTCTAATTTTTGTTATATCTGAAGTTAGGCTATCAAAGATAAACCACAGCCAATCACTTTCTTAAGTGTCTAATGCATATTTTGCACAATGCTATGAGGAGGAAAAGAAGAAAGAGAGAAAGAAAGAAGAAAGAGAAAGAAAGAAGAAAGAGGAGGAGAGAGAGAGGGGAAAGAAGAAGTGGGGAGGAAAAATCATATTCTTCAGTTTATAATTTAGTTGTCAGAACAAGAGCAAACACATGTTTAAAATTTTGTGAACAATTCCTTCATGGCAACAAAAAAGACATGGTGATTTTAAAATTTATATTTGTTCTAATAGTCTTAACCAGGATAAATGACCAGAAAGAGAGTAATGGCTATTGCAGTATGTAAAGAAGACTAGAGTAGGAGTTGGAAGATTTGGAACAAATCCCAATTTTGTTGTATCATCCTTATTTAGTGAAAATGTTAATAATTATTAAGCATCTGTCATGAATTAGGTACCTTGCTAACTAACTACTTTATATATTTTAATAATCCACAATTGTAGTGTGCCAGAGTTGGAGCCTTCAAGTTTTAGTGATTAATTGAAAAGCACAACTTATTTCTTCTTGTGCTATGGACTTTTTAATGAGTCCTCATATTCAGAAAGCCGTAGAAGTCAAGTGGGTAGTTACTTAATGTTGGCTAGGCAGTTGATTTACTGAGTCTGCAATAGATGCTAACTTTCCCTGGTTGATTGGGAGAAAAAGTCAATGGAAAGTAACAAAGAAAGCTTCATTACATTTCTTTGCTATTCATACAAGCTTTCAGTGCTAGTGAATGTTTTGTGCAATTGCTCAAAGTATTATATTATTTGGGAGCATGGAAAATGTTTTCGTGTTTACTTGTTGTTTTCCTCAAGAAAATTTCCAGAGCTAGGTATAACTCACAAAATCTTTTTTCAGTCTTATAAAGAATGAGAACACTTGTTAAATGTGCCAACCTCCCTTTAGCAGAAACAGCTCCATTAAGCCAGTATATTTGGCACTTTCTCAATGCACGATGTGTGTGTGGGGTGTGTGTGTGTGTGTGTGTGTGTGTGTGTTTTAGTTTATGAAACCAATTTAAATGCTGCATTCCTAAAAAGCTGGCTATGATCCTCAATTTTACAGAGAAGAAAAGACGTTTTGAAATCGTTTAATATACCACCAAATCTGAATGCCAATGAGCTACAATTTACCAGTAACATACATTCTTTATTAATATTACCTTCTTTTGCTTTCAGAAGGCATGTAGGGAGAAGGCCATAATTAGAATATATGTATATATATTTATTTATATTTATATATATATGTATATATATTTGCCAATCTAGAATTTCTAATCTCCATACACTTTGGCAACTATTGGGGAACTAAAAGATGTATCATGGAAAAACAAATTAAAATGTTAAATTCAAGGACACAGTGCTTTGAATAAAAGCCTCAGATAATGTGAACTTGATAAGCTCATCAGATATAAATGAAAGATCTGGCATAAATGATAGATTTCGTGACTTGGGGGACTAAAGAAGTTTTAAAATGCATCTAATACTAAGCACTCTTTTGGAGAATTAATGTAAAAACTAAATCATTGACCTGTAGAAATTAGGTAATAACACTTACTATTATTGCACATTATCAATTTATGAGATGTTACATTGTAGTCCTAAACATTGAGGCTGAAACAAATCTTAAAAGCCCTCATTATTACTTTACTCTTTGGGTAGATATTATTACTGGAAGTATCATAGAATGTCAGACCTAGAAAGGAGTAAGGAATGGAACTAATCCTCTTATTTACATAGGAGGAACATGTAAAGGCAATACAGTTGTGATTGTCTGAGGTCATGTGATTTTTGTCTGTGTACATGGGACTTTTACTTGCTCCTTTAAAGGAATCTCAATAGCTTATAAATGTCAAAAGGAAAAACCAATCATCTCTTTACATTAGCACATTTTATTTCATTTACTGATATTATTAAGCCAAATATTTATATTTTAATACCCTAGTAATGATATTTATATTTTTTCAAGGAATTTTTTTACATTGTTGCATAAGATTTTCATCATACTTTATGAGTGCAAGCACTTTTACTATTATATGTGAGTCTTATTAATGTTAATTATTTAGAAATAGAGATGACACAAAGAGCTAGGTAACAAAACAATAAATAAATTCAACAGTAAAACATTTTGAAATGCAAATATTTTAAATAAAAATTTTTAATGAATAAAAGTATGCATGTTCTTGAAATAAATACTTTTATTAAAAACTCATCGGTTACATTTCCAAAATATAAATCTGATACCAACTATCAATTTTAGTTTATAGGCAGTGAACATTAAAGCTGGATTAACATCATGCTGATTTTGTTTTTCATTTTCTTTTTAATTGAAAATAAAGTGTGCCACCAGTCAAGGTGAATAATGTCTATAGATTTTTCACCTGTGTTTTGTGGCTGAATTTATTTACACCCACATTAACTGATTAGCTCCTGCCATGCAGTTCCATATTCATCAATTATTTATGAAAATGCCTCATTGTATTTGTCATATATGTATCAGTTTGAATGACAAGATGGCTCTTCTAATATGCTGGTATTTTACTATAGTTAAAATAATGAGAAACTGGTAATTTTTTTTTAATGCCATGAAGATAAAGGTGTTTAAGTCCTGTTAAGCAGAATTAACCAAAATAAGAGCTTTCCCAGGTAAACACTTGGTTTTGTATTTTACCTAATTATCTAAATTCAACTGTATGACACGTCCTAATTGAATAACGATGGTAATTTCTGTGATAGAGATGAAAAGCACATAAACTTGTTCTGAAGTTCGCTTACCATCATAGCATATAGACACGTAAACAAATAATTTCGATATAGCTTGATAATCATTAAAACCTAACACTTCTTATTTAGCACTTTGTGTGCCAACTCTGTTTTTAATAGTTTTTCCTAATTTACTCCTTCCAACAACCTTTAAGAGTGGGTTCTATTACTCTCCATTTCACAGAGGAGAAAACAGCAGCACAGAAAGCATATATAACTTGCCTAAGGTCACATAATTAGATACCTGTGGAGCTGATATTTGAAATCAAACAGCCTGAGACTCAGAACAAAACAGCAGAGTGTTCAGTTGTAGCAGAGGGATGGTGCTGAATTACAGCTGGGAAAAAAATGAATAAGAATGTGCTAGTTAAGGGCTGCACAGTGGTGGAAGGAAACAGGGCAGGCATGAGAGGAAGGATGAGAACAGATACAGAGCATTCTGGGATGAGATAAGAGACTTAGTGAGGGCAAAGAGCTATGAGACTGTGGCTGCGTGTAAGGAACTAAGCAGGTTCTTCTTACCTCAGCCATATTTCTCAAAGTGAGTCTCCAGACTGTCTGAAGAAATAAGTGCTTGGATACATTTTGAAAATACAGATTCCTAGACTGTGATAGACCTACTGAGACAGAATCTCTGCAGTGAATTCCCAAATGAGAATTTTAATAGAGCACGTCAGATTATTTATTATACATCAAAAGTTTCAGAAGCCTGCGCAAGATTGTAAAGTTCAAGATGAGAAGTGTCAGAAGATGCCTTTGACTTGTCTTCTTTCTGATTATGTTATTTCACATAACATAAAAAACCAATATTTCAAAATACATACTAAATGTAAACAAAGATTAAAAGCACCTGAGTAAAATAAGCAATCTAACAGACAAAAATAAACCATTCTTTGTCCAGATCCTTACTTCATTTATCCTGTAAGGAAATTATTTAAAAAAAAACAATTCTTACCTACTTTTATTGAGACACTACATTTCCCCCGCCCACAATCATTTCAGTTCACTATTTTTGCTATCCGCATAAACCTTTAGTGAGTCTTTCAAAAGATATGACCAAGTCCAACCCTCATTCATTTAACATAATGATTCTGAATCCTATTGGCAAATAGTGACCTGAGATACTTTTTAATAAAAGGCGTATGAAAGGAGAACAATTGATTTGCAGGTATTTTTCCCTGTATCTACTATGCAAAAGTCTTTTCACCCTATACTCTCAGGAATACATGTATAAGAAGTGTAATATCCATAGGGAGCTTGAAATCCAGAAAGGATATAAGACAGGCCCACACACACAAAATGTAATAAAGTTAAACCATTGTAAGAGCTTCAAAGAGGTGCAGATAATGCATAGGAGTTCAGCAAAATGCAATTATTACTTAACTGTTGAAATCATTAGGGAAGTTTTCATGGAGGATTGGGCATTTGAACTTGGTTGTAAATGATGGATGGACTTGTGATATTAAGGTTACCAAACAAGAGCATTTTCAAATGCTTAGGTGGAGAGATCATTATGAATGAAAGCTAGAAAGCTTTCATAGTAATTGTGGTTAAAGGGATTCTTGGAAAACAGATTACAGTTTTTTATCTTGAGAGGGACTTAAGTAGGGGTGATAAGAATTAAAAGAGAAGTTGTTCTCACTCTGAGGATACTGAATGCAAGCCTACAGAGTAAGGAATGTAGTCAGTGCTCTGTGTGTGACATTGAACTCCTTTAGCAAAGGAGGAAAATGAATAACCAAGTTTCAGAGAGAACTGACATCTAGGTGTGAAAAGAACTAGAGAGGAGAGAGACTGAGTTACAGGAACTCTTAAGATAAAATCGAGCAGACAAGGAATATGATGTTTCAAATCCAATCTGTAGTGCAATATAGAGATGGGAACCTGGGAATGATAGAGTTGGCAAAGCATTCCCCATTTACAAATTGATCTTTTCCATGCATTTCGTCATTCTTTCTTTCTCTAGAAAGTGAATTGTTAACTTTGTCAATTTCTATGATATAAATGATCCAACTATGGTCAATTTTAAACTACCAATGTAATGTATTGAACCTGAATTTGGGACATGTTGGCAGGAAGTTTTCCTCTGTTAACTGAGGTCTGACTTGTTAGAGGCTTGTGAATTAACCGACAATAGACAGGTTAATAGGAGGAAAGTTTATTACACATGAAAAACTAGCCAGTAGTGAGGAACTAGAGGTTACGGTTTGTAAACCAACTCAACAAGAGTTGATTGGATAATTTGACTCATGCCTGTAATTCCAGCACTTTGGGAGGCTGAAGTGGGAGGATGGCTTGAGACTAGGAGTTTGAGAACAGCCTGGGCAACATAGTGGGACTCCATCTCTACAAATAAAAAAATTAACCAGGGTGGTGGTGTGCACCTGTAGTCCCAGCTACTCAGGAGACTGAGGTGGGAGGATCGCTTGAGCTCAAGAGGTTGAGGGTGCAGTGAGCCATGATCCCACCACTGCACTCCAGCCGGGGCGAAAGACTGAGACCCTATCTCAAAACAACAACAATAACAACATCCAAGAAGGAAGGAAAGAAAGGGCAGCTTAGACTTCAATGCAAAAGTGTGGAAGGTCCTTGCTGGGTACCTTGGCTCATGTCTGTAATCCTAGCACTTCAGGAAGTCGAGGCAGGTGAGTCACTTGAGGCCAGGAGTTCAAGACCAGGCTGGCGAACATGGCAAAATCCCGTCTCTACTAAAAATATAAAACATTACTCCAGCGTGGTGGTACACGCCTGTAATCCCAGCTACTCAGAAGGTCGGGGCATGAGAATCTCTTGAACCTGGGAGGTGAAGGTTACAGTGAGTCAGGATCAAGCAATGTTAATGGGCAGTTGAATCAATTGAATTTATACTTCCCTGTGCTAGGGTTAGACTTCCCCCAAACAGAAAGTTCTCTCAAGACAAGGTCCATGGCAGCTATATTGTGGGGGAGGTTCTGCTTAAGTTTAGAAAATGTCTCTCTGTCGTTGCTGACTATTCAGAAGTTTTCAGTTTAAAGTAATTTTTGTACCACTTTGGTAGGCTGTTAATCCCTTCAGGAAAAAATGTACAAAGTACACTCAAAGAGCACTGGCAAAGCAGCTTCTGCCTTCTGCTGTATGAATCTGCCATAATCTGTATGTTTGTATCCGTTCAAAATTCATACATTGAAATCTAATCATCAATGTGATGATGGTAGGATGTGGGACCTTTGAGGGGTGATTCAGTTATGAGGTTGGAGCCCTAATAAATTAGATTAGTGCCCTTATAAATAAACCCTACAGAGCTGCTTATTTCCTTCCACCATGTGAGCGCATAGCTAGCAGGCACCGTCTATGAGCCAGAAAATGGGCCCTTACCAGATATTGAATCTGCCAGTGCAATCTGCTTATGTCTCAATCTTTTTTTTTTTTAATTATACTTTAAGTTCTAGGGTACATGTGTACGACATGCAGGTTTGTTACATATGTATACATGTGCCATGTTGGTGTGCTGCACCCATTAACTCGTCATTTACATTAGGTATATCTCCTAATGCTATCCCTCCCCACTCCCCTCACCCCACAACAGGCCCCGGTGTGTAATGTTCCCCTTCCTGTGTCCAAGTGTTCTCATTGCTCAATTCCCACCTATGAGTGAGAACATGTGGTGTGTTTGGTTTTTTGTCCTTGTGACATTTGCTGAGAATGATGGTTTCCAGCTTCATCCGTGTCCCTACAAAGGACATGAACTCATCCTTTTTTATGGCTGCATAGTATTCCATGGTATATATGTGCCACATTTTCTTAATTCAGTCTATCATTGATGGACATTTGGGTTGGTTCCAAGTCTTTGCTATTGTGAATAGTGCCGCAATAAACATACGTGTGCATGTGTCTTTATAGCAGCATGATTTATAATCCTTTGGGTATATACCCAGTAATGGAATGGCTGGGTCAAATGGTGTTTCTAGTTCTCGATCCTTGAGGAATTGCCACACTGTCTTCCACAATGGTTGAACTAGTTTACAGTCCCACCAACAGTGTAAAAGTGTTCCTATTTCTCCACATCCTCTCCAGCACCTGTTGTTTCCTGACTTTTTAATGATTGCCATTCTAACTGGTGTGAGATGGTATCTCACTGTGATTTTGATTTGCATTTCTCTGATGACCAGTGATGATGAGCATTTGTTCATGTGTCTGTTGGCTGCATAAATGTCTGCTTTTGAGACGTGACTGTTCATATCCTTGCCCAATTTTTGATGGGGTTGTTTTTTTCTTTTAATTTGTTTGAGTTCTTTGTATATTCTGGTTATTAGCCCTTTGTCAGATGAGTAGACTGCAAAAATTTTCTCCCATTCTGTAGGTTGCCTGTTCACTCTGATGGTAGTTTCTTTTGCTGTGCAGAAGCTCTTTAGTTTAGTTAGATCCCATTTGTCAATTTTGGCTTTTGTTGCCATTGCTTTTGGTGTTTTAGACATGAAGTCCTTGCCCATGCCTATGTCCTGAATGGTATTGCCTAGGTTTTCTTCTAGGGTTTTTATGGTTTTAGGTTTAACATTGAAGTCTTTAATCCATCTTGAATTAATTTTTGTAGAAGGTATAAGGAAATGATCCAGTTTCAGGTTTCTACATATGGCTAGCCAGTTTTCCCAGCACCATTTATTAAACAGGGAATCCTTTCCCCATTTCTTGTTTTTGTCAGGTTTGTCAAAGATCAGATGGTTGTAGATGTGTGGTATTATTTCTGAGGGCTCTGTTCTGTTCCATTAGTCTGGATCTCTGTTGTGGTATCAGTACCATGTTGTTTTGCTTACTGTAGCCTTATAGTATAGTTTGATATCAGGTAGCGTGATGCCTCCAGCTTTGTTCTTTTGGCTTAGGATTGTCTTGGCAATGTGGGCTCTTTTTTTGGTTCCGTATGAACTTTAAATTAGTTTTTTCCAATTCTGTGAGGAAAGTCATTTGTAGCTTGATGGGGATGGCATTGAATCTATAAATTACCTTGGGCAGTATGGCCATTTTCACGATATTGATTCTTCCTACCCATGAGCATGGAATGTTCTTCCGTTTGTTTATGTCCTCTTTTACTTCATTGAGAAGTGGTTTGTAGTTTTCCTTCACATCCTTTGTAAGTTGGATTCCTAGGTATTTTATTCTCTTTGAAGCAATTGTGAATGGGAGTTCACTCATGATTTGGCTCTCTGTTTGTCTGTTATTGGTGTGTAAGAACGCTTATGATTTTTGCACATTGATTTTGTATCCTGAGACTTTGCTGAAGTTGCTTATCAGCTTAAGGAGATTTTGGGTTGAGACGATGGGGTTTTCTAAATATACAATCATGTCATCTGTAAACAGGGACAATTTGACTTCTTCTTTTCCTAATTGAATATGCTTTATTTCTTTCTCCTGCTTGATTGCCCTGGCCAGAACTTCCAACGCTACATTGAATAGGAGCGGTGAGAGAGGGCACACCTGCCTTGTGCCAGTTTTCAAAGGGAATGCTTCCAGTTTTTGCCCATTCAGTATGATATTGGCTGTGGGTTTGTCATAAATAGCTCTTATTATTTTGAGATATGTCCCATCAATATCTATTTTATTGGGAGTTTTTAGCATGAAGGGCTGTTGAATTTTGTCAAAGGTCTTTTCTGCATCCATTGAGATAATCGTGGTTTTTGTCTTTGGTTCTGTTTATATGCTGGATTACGTTTATTGGTTTTCATATGTTTAACCAGCCTTGCATCCCAGGGATGAAGCCCACTTGATCATGGTGGATAAGCTTTTTGATGTGCTGCTGGATTCAGTTTGCCAGTATTTTATTGAGGATTTTTTCATCGATGTTCATCAGGGATATTGGTCTAAAATTCTCTTTTTTTGTTTTGTCCCTGCCAGGCTTTGGTATCAGGATGATGCTGGCCTCAGAAAATGAGTTAGGGAGGATTCCCTCCTTTTCTATTGATTGGAATCATTTCAGAAGGAATGGTACCAGCTCCTCCTTGTACCACTGCTAGAATTCGGCTGTGAATCTGTCTGGTCCCGTACTTTTTTTGATTGGTAGGTTATTAATTATTGACTCAATTTCAGAGCCTGTTATTAGTCTATTAACGGATTCAACTTATTCCTGGTTTAGTCTTGGGAGGGTGTATGTGTCCAGTAATTTATCCATTTCTTCTAGATTTTCTAGTTCATTTGTGTAGAGGTGTTTATAGTATTCTCTGATGGTAGTTTGTATTTCTGTGGGATCATTGGCAATATCACCTTTATCATTTTTTATTGCGTCTATTTGATTCTTCTCTCTTTTCTTCTTTATTAGTCTTGCTAGCAGTCTATCAATTTTGTTGATCTTTTCAAAAAACCAGCTCCTGGATTCATTAATTTTTTGAAGGGTTTTTTATGCCTCTATCGCCTTCAGTTCTGCTCTGATCTTAGTTATTTCTTGCCTTCTGCTAGCTTTTGAATGTGTTTGCTCTTGCTTCTCTAGTTGTTTTAATTGTGATGTTAGGGTGTCAATTTTAGATCTTTCCTGCTTTCTCTTATGGGCATTTAGTGCTATAAATTTCCCTCTACACACAGCTTTTAGTGTGTCCCACATATTCTATTATGCTGTGTCTTTGTTCTCATTGGTTTCAAAGAACAACTTTATTTCTGCCTTCATTTCGTTATGTACCCAGTAGTTGTTCAGGAGCAGATTGTTCAGTTTCCATGTAGTTGAGAAGTTTTGAGTGACTTTCTTAATCCTGAGTTCTAGTTTTATTGCACTGTGTTCTGAGAGACAGTTTGTTATAATTTCTGTTCTTTTCCATTTGCTGAGGAGTGCTTTACTTCCAACTATGTGGTCAATTTTGGAATAAGTGCAGTGTGTGGCTGAGAATAATGTATATTCTGTTGATTTGGGGTGGAGAGTTCTGTAGATGTCTATTAGGTCCGCTTGATGTAGAGCTGAGTTCAATTCCTGGATATCCTTGTTAACTTTCTGTCTCGTTGATCTGTCTAATGTTGACAGTGGGGTGTTAAAGTCTCCCATTATTATTGTGTGGGAGTCTAAGTCTCTTTGTAGGTCTCTAAGGACTTCCTTTATGAATCTGGGTGCTCCTGTATTGGGTTCATATGTATTTAGGATAGTTAGCTCTTCTTGTTGAATTAATCCCTTTACCATTGTGTAATGTCCTTCTTTGTCTCTTTTGATCTTTGTTGGTTTAAAGTCTGTTTTATCAGAGACTAGGATTGCAACCCCCACTTTTTTTTGTTTTCCATTTGCTTGGTAGATATTCCTCCATCCCTTTATTTTGAGTCTATGTGTGTCTCTGCATGTGAGATGGGTCTCCTGAATACAGCACACTGATGGGTCTTTACTCTTTATCCAATTTGCCATTCTGTGTCTTTCAATTGGAGCATTTAGCCCATTTCCATTTAAGGTTAGTATTGTTATGTGTGAATTTGATCCTGTCTTTATGATGTTAGGTGTTTATTTTGCTCATCAGTTGATGCAGTTTCTTCCAAGCATCGATGGTCTTTACCATTTGGCATGTTTTTGCAGTGGCTGGTACCGGTTGTTCCTTTCCATATTTAGTGCTTCCTTCAGGAGCTCTTTTAGGGCAGGCCTGGTGATGACAAAATCTCTCAGCATTTGCTTGTGTGTAAAGGATTTTATTTCTCCTTCACTTATGAAGCTTAGTTTGGCTGGATATGAAATTCTGGGTTGAAAATTCTTTTCTTTTAGAATGTTGAATATTGGCCCCTACTCTCTTCTGGCATGTAGAGTTTCTGCCGAGATATCAGCTGTTAGTCTGTTGGGCTTCCCTTTGTGGGTAACCCGACCTTTCTCTCTGGCTGCCCTTAACATTTTTTCCTTCATTTCAACTTTGGTGAATCTGACAATTATGTGGCTTGAAGTTGCTCTTCTCGAGGAGTATCTTTGTGGCGTTCTCTGCATTTCCTGAATTTGAATGTTGGCCTGCCTTGCTAGGTTGGGGAAGTTCTCTTGGATAATATCCTGCAGAGTGTTTTCCAAGTTGGTTCCATTCTCCCCATCACTTTCAGGTATACCAATCAGACCTAGATTTGGTCTTTTCACATAGTCCCATATTTCTTGGAGGCTTTGTTCATTTCTTTTTGCTCTTTATTCTTTGAACTTCTCTTCTCACTTCATTTCATTCATTTGATCTTTAATCACTGATACCATTTCTTCCAGTTGATTGAATTCGCTACTGAAGCTTGTGCATTTGTCACGTAGTTCTCATGGCATGGTTTTCAGCTCCATCAGGTCATATAAGGACTTCTCTACACTGGTTATTCTTGTTAGCCATTCATCTAATCTTTTTTCAAGGTTTTTAGCTTCTTTTAATGGGTTCGAACTTCCTTCTGTAGCTTGGAGAAGTTTGATCATCTTAAGCCTTCTTTTCTCAACTCGTCAAAGTCATTCTCCATCCAGCTTTGTTCCACTGCTGGTGAGGAGCTGTGTTCCTTTGGAGGGAGAGAGGTGCTTTGATTTTTAGAATTTTCAGCTTTTTTGCTCTGTTTTTTCCCCATCTTTGTGGTTTTATCTAGCTTTGGTCTTTGATGATCATGACATAAAGATGGGGTTTTGGTGTGGATGTCCTTGCTGTTTGTTAGTTTTCCTTCTAACAGTCAGGACCCTCAGCTGCAGGTCTGTTGGAGTTTGCTGGAAGTCCACTCCAGACCCTGTTTGCCTGGGTATCAGCAACAGAGGCTGCAGAACAGCAAATATTGCTGAACAGCAAATGTTGCTGTCTGATTGTTCCTGTGGAAGCTTCATCTCAGAGAGGTACCCGGCCATGTGAGTTGTCAGTCTCCCCCTACTGGGGGTTGCCTCCCAGTTAGGCTATTCGGGGGTCAGGGACCCACTTGAGGAGGCAGTCTGTCCATTCTCAGATCTCAAATTCCATGCTGGGAGAACTACTACTCTCTTCAAAGGTGTCAGACAGGGACATTTATGTCTGCAGAGGTTTCTGCTGCCTTTTGTTTGGCTATGCCCGGCCCCCAGAGGTGGAGTCTACAGAGGCAGGCAGGCTTCCTTGAGCTGTGGTGGTCTCCACCCAGTTTGAGCTTCCTGGCTGCTTTGTTTACCTACTCAAGCCTCAGCAATGGTGGGCGCCCCTCCCCCAGTCTCACTGCCTCCTTTGCAGTTGGATCTCAGGCTGCTGTGCTAGCAATGAGCGAGGCTCCATGGTCGTGGGACCCTCCGAGCCAGGCTCAGAATATAATCTCCTGGTGTGCTGTTTGCTAAGACCATTGGAAAATCACAGTATTAGGGTGGGAGTGACACAATTTTCCAGGTGCCGTCTGTCACAGCTTCCCTTTGCTAGGAAAGGGAATTCCCTGACCCCTTGCACTTCCGGGGTCAGGCGATGCCTTGCCCTGCTTCAGCTTACGCTTGTTGGACTGCACCCACTGTCCTGCACCCACTGTCTGACAAGCCCCAGTGAGATGAACCTGGTACCTCAGTTGGAAATGCAGAAATCGCCCATCTTCTGGGTCGCTCATGTTGGGAGCTGTAGACTGGAGCTGTTCCTATTCAGCCATCTTGGAACCACTCCCTATGTCTCAATCTTAAACTTCCCAGCCTCCACAACTGTGAGAAATAAATTTCCGTTGTTTAAAAGTTACCTAGTTTATGGTATCTTGTTGTAACAACCCTAATGGACTAAGACTGAAAACCACCTAAAAATTGCCCTTTCACATGGTGAATTAAATTATTTAAAAACAAACAAAGTGGCCTGGCATGGTGGCTCACACCTGTAATCCCAGCACTTTTGGAGGTTAAGGCGGGAGGATCTCTTAAGCCCCAAAGTTGAAGTCTGCAGTGAGCTGTGATTGTGCTGCTGCACTCCAGCCTAGGTGACAGTGAGACCCTGTCTCTAAAAAGTCAATTAATTAATTAAAATTAAGATTAAAACAAATAAAACCACAACAAAAGTTAAAGATAATCTTAATAGCAGAGATTTTTGCAAAATAGGAGAGAGGATGCCTTCAGTAATTAGGATTCAGCTGTTAGGGCTAGAGAGATTCTGGTGAATACTACAGGTTTTCTTGAGAGCTTGAGAGAATTTGGACAAGGAAAAATTACAGAAAATGAAGTAAACCGTTGATTATCCCCCTAAAGTTTAGAACATATGCTATACAGCAAAACAAAATTTGCACATTGTGTGTAAAGTTGAAGTATATTCTTTCTGTTTATTCTGCTCATTCCCTTATGTAGTTTTTATTGTAAATTGATTAGCTTGTCCTGGGTATGTTTGCCACAGGATATGCTAAACCATTTGTCCTTTTTGAGAGGGTTTGTGAAAGAATGAGTTTGATGAAGTCATGACTTCCAAGTAGCATAAGCTCAATAGTGGATTTTTAAAAGCCATACCCATCATGTTATGAAGCTTAGAGAAGAGGCAGGTGTCCATCTTATTCCTCCTTATAATTTCCTAACCACTGTCTTTTCCTGCTCCCCTCATAATTTTTGGCAGGAAGCCCATGCCATCAGACTGTATCACTTGCTACCCCTCTTCATTGTAGTCTTCATCCCAACCCCAGCACACTCTTGTCTATTCTTTGAAGATTATAGTCCTCACTCATGTTCATTATTTCCAATGTTGCTTCTAAAATAGTCCATGTTTAGACACATAGCTTATCTTTGTCTCACCTTGGATTTTAGCTCCTTGAACTGTTTTTTTTTTCAATAATCTTGTTCTCAATCCTATCTCCGCCAGTGTAGTCATTCACAGTGCACCTCTACTGTGATGTCCATTTGGAATTTCAAACTTAACTTGAACAAGCTGAATTACTGGACTTTACACTTCAAATGTGTACATGTGTACCTTTTGCCATCTTCCCTATCCCATTAAATTCCTACAGAATCTGTTTACCCAGACAACACCTTGGAAATCATTCTGCCTTCTCTTTTCTCTCATAGCCCATATCCAAACTATGAGGAAATTCTGTCATTTCTACCTTAAAAAAAAAATATATATATATATATATAATATTCAAACAGTTTTTACTACTTCCACTGCTAAAAACTTTGTCCAAACATCCATTATCTCTCAAACTGTTATAATCACTTTGGAGTGGTCTTTCAGCTTCCACACTCACCCTTCTACAGTGTCTTTGTAATGGTGCATTTGCCATATTTTATTCATCACAAGTGCACTGTGAAATCCAGCCCACACTCAAGGATGACATGAGAGTGCAAATACAAGGAGGTAGGGATCATTTGTGAACATGCTAGAAGCCACCTACCTCAGGCAGCACAGCTAGTTGTAACGAGTAGGCCTCACTCTCAGAATTTAAAGCTGGAAGCATCCTAGCACTCTGTAGCAGATGCAGAACACAGCTTTCGGTTTACAAGCTGCCAATATTATCCTACCTACTGAACTTAAAAAGCCCCAGAATGGAAAGATACTCTTTCCTTTCATTTCAGTGCTCTATCAGCCAAATCTGTCAATGAAAAATGGATCTGTGTAGTTCAAGGTCAACCAGCAGCAGTTTGCACCTCCTGAGGCTCTGTGTTTTAGCTAAAGCTACCTGTGGTCTTTGTCTTTTCTGATGTTGTTGGACCCAGAGGCTTTGCTGAGACACATTCATCTCACAAGCCATCATTTCAGTCTCACAAGACTATATAAAAATAGCGTCATGCCTGAGGGAAAAGCCTCCATAAGCTTCAGACAACCTTCCAGGTTAAACCTTCTTATGATCTGAGGCTTAATGTTCTCGCTCAGACCTTAGCAGTAAAAAGCCAACTGTACAACTGCTGAGCAGAACACACGTTCTCTGCATGTGATCCTGCTAGCAAAAGAGGAATAAGCAGAACCAAAAACACTGAGTTCATTCACCCCAAATTTATTAGCAAGAAAAGTAATATTTCTTTGCTAGGGAGAAAGGCTGGGAGTGTAACACTAGTAGAGCTTCTGGTACCGGGAATGAGGAATGAGGAATAAGTGTTCCTACCCATCCTCAGAACTTCCAAATATTTTCTTTGTTTTATAATTTTATGATGTTTTCTTTAATATGTAAAAAAATCAACATAGTCACTTAGGTCAGTCTTTGTCTTTATTATTTATTTATGTTTATGTTCAGAGAAGCCCTCCTTGTTCTATTGTAACTGAAAGGTAATTTTTACTTACATTTTCTTCAAGTGGTTCTTGTGGGCTGATTTATATTTAGTATTTTAATCCAGTTATAGTTTACTATAATGCAATTTAAGGATCTGATTTTTTCCCCTAAAAGTTAACGAATTGGTAAATCACAACCTATTAAATATCCTGATCAATTTCTCTTTGCCAGTTGAAGATATGATACATTTAGAACCCTCAAACTCCTCAAGTGGTAGTAAAAATTAAGGCATTAGCTTTGGAGGGAAATTGATAATATATGTGAAGCTATTCAATTGTGTGCATAGCCTTTAACTGAGACTTTATAACTCTACAAGTGCATTTAAAGAAATATTCACATATCTGTCTTAAGAATGTCATCACAACATTATACAGAAAAAATGGAAATACAAAATATCTAATGACAGGATTAATGAAGTTATTTTTATATGATGGAAATTTATTCATTCCATATAATGTAAACTTAAGAAAAATATTTGATGTAAGAAAAATCCTGAGAATATAGCTAGGTGCAAAGTTTAGATAGAAATTATTATATACATTAATGATGCATTAATGATTATATTATGTTTTAAAATTTTTATCTATTTCTCTTCAACTTTTACTTTGAGTTCAGGGGTACATGTGCAGGGTGTGCAGGTTTGTTATAGGTAAATGTGTGCCATGGTGGTTTGTTGCACAGAGCATCCCATCACCTAGGTATTAAGCCCAGGATCCATTAGCTATTCTTCCTGATACTCTCTTCCCGCTCAAACCCCCTCCAACAGGTCCCAGTGTGTGTTGTTTTCCCCTATATGTCCATGTGTTCTCATCATTTAGGTCCCACTTAAAAGTGAGAATATACAGTATTTGGTTTTCTGTTCCTTCACTAGTTTGCTGAGGATAATGGCTTTCAACTCCATCCATGTCCATGTAAAGGGCATGATCCCGTTCTTTTTTATGGCTGCATAGTATATTATGGTGTATATGTATCACATTTTCTTTATTCAGTCTATCATTGATGGGCATTTAGGTTGATTCCATGTCTTTGCTATTGTGAATAGTGCTGCAGTGAACATATGCATGCATGTATCTTTATAATAGAATGATTTATATTTCTTTGGGTATATACCCAGTAATGGGATTGCTGGTTCAAATTATATTTCTGCCTCTAGGTCTTTGAGGAATTACCACATTGTCTTCCACAATGGTAGAACTAATTTACACTTCCACCAACAGTGTAAAAACATTCCTTTTTCTCTGCAACCTTGCCAGCATCTGTTTTTTTTTTTTTTTTGACTTTTTAATAACCATTCTGACTGGTGTGAGATGGTATCTCATAGTGGTTTTGATTTGCATTTCTCTAGTGATCAGTGATGTTGAGCTTTTTTGTTTGTTTGTTGGCTGCATGTATGTCTTCTTTTGAGAAGTGTCTATGCAAGTCCTTTGCCTGCTTTTTAATGGGATTGTTTGTTTTCTTCTTGTAAATTTGTTTAAGTTCCTTCTAGACTCTGGATATTAGACCTTTGTCCCTTTGTCAGATGGATAGATTGCAAAAAGTTTCTCCCATTCTCTAGGTTGTCACTTCATTCTAGTGATAGTTTTTTGTTGTTGTTGTTGTTTTTTGTTTTGTTTTGTTTTTTGCTGTGCAGCAGTTCTTTAGTTTAATTACATCTCATTGGTCAATTTTTGCTTTTGCTGAAATTGCTTTTGGTATTTTTATCATGAAATCTTTGCTCATGCCTATGTCCTGAATGGTATTGACCAGATTTTCTTCTAGAGCTTTTATAGTTTTGGGTTTTATATGTAAGTCTTTAATTCCTCTGGAGTTAATTTTTGTATATGGTGTAAGGAAGAGGTACAGTTTCAATTTTCTGCATATGGCTAGCCAGTTCTCCCAGCACCATTTATTAAGTAGGGAGTCCTTTCCCCATTACTTGTTTTTGTCAGCTTTGTTGAAGATCAGATAGTTGTACATGTGTGATCTTATTTTTGAGTTCTCTCTTCTGCTTCATTGGTCTATGTGTCTGTTCTTGTATCAGTACCATGCTGATTTGATTACTTAAGCCTTGTAGTATGATTTAAAGTCAGGTAGCATGATGCCTTCAGCTTTGTTCTTTTTGCTTAGGATTGTCTTGGCTATTTATGCTCTTTTTTGGTTCCATTGGAATTATAAACTGTTTTTTTCTTGTTCTGCAAGGAATGTCAACATGGTTTAATGGGAATAGCATTGAATGTATAAACTACTTTTGGGAAGTATGGTCATTCAGATGATACTGATTCTTCTTATCCGTGAGCATGAAAGGTTTATCTATTTCTTTGTGTCCTCTCTGATTTCTTTGAGCAGTGATTTGTAGTTCTCCTTGAAGATATCCTTCACTTCCCTTGTTAGCTGTATTCCTAGGAATTTTATTCTTTTTGTAGCAATTGTAAATGTGAATTCATTCATGATTTGGCTCCCTGCTTGCCTGTTGTTAGTATATAGGAATGCTAGTGATTTTTACACATTGATTTTGTATCCTGAGACTTTGCTGAAATTGTGTATTAGCTTAAGAAGCTTTAGTGCTGATATGGTTGGGTTTTCTAGATATAGTGTCATGTTATCTGTAAGCAAAGATAATTTGACTTCCTATAATCCTACTTGAATATGCTTTATATCTTTCTCTTGCCTGATTGTCCTGGCCAGAACTTCCAATACTGTGTTGAATAGGAGCTGTGAGAGAGGGTATCTTTGTCTTGTGCCAGTTTTCAAGAGGAATGCTTCCAGCTTTTGCCCATTTAGTATGATATTGGCTGTGGATTTGTCATATGTGGCTTTTATTATTTTGAGGTATGTTCATTCAATACTTAGTTTATTAAGAGTTTTTAAACATGAAGAGATGTTGAATTTTATTGAAGGCCTTTTCTGCACCTATTGAGATAATCATGCGGCTTTCACTTTTGTTCTGTTTATGTGTCAAATGAGAATTACTGATTTGCTTATTTTGAACCAACCATGCATCCCAGGGATGCAGCCACTTGATCATGGTGGATAAACGTTTTGATGTCCTGCTGGATTTTTTTTTTTTTGTCAGTATTTTATTGAGGATCTTTGCATTGATGTCCATCAAGGATACTGGCCTGAAGTTTTTTTGTTGTTGTATCTCTGCCAGGTTTGGGGATGATGCTGGCCTCATAGAATGAACTAGGGAGAAGTAGTCCCTTCTTTTTAATTTCTTGGTATAGTTTCAATAGAAATGGTAAAAGCTTTTCTTTGTACCTCTGGTAGAATTCAGCTGTGAATCTGTCTGGTCATGGGCTTTTTTTGTATTTCTGTTGGGTCAGTGGTAATATCCCCATTGTTTCTGACTGTGGATATTTGAATCTTACTTCTTTTCTTTATTAGTCTAGCTAGTGGTCTATCTATGCTATTAATTTTTTTCAAAAAAGTAGCTCTTGGATTTGTTGATTTTTTTGAAGTGTTTGTCACAGTCTGCTTCAGTGCAGCTCTGATTTTGGTTATTTCTTGTCTTCCGCTAGTTTTGATATTTATTTGCTCTTGGTTCTCTAGTTCTTTTACTTGTGATATTAGGTTTTTAACTTGAGATATTTATAACTTTTTGATGTGGACATTTAGGGTTACAAATTTCCTTCTTAACACTGCCTTAGCTATGTCCCAGAGATTCTGGTATGTTGTATCCTTGTTCTCATTCATTTCAAAGGACTTCTTGATTTCTTCCTTAATTTTATTATTTACCCGAAAGTCATTCAGGAGCAAGTTTCTGAATTTTGATGTAATTGTATAGTTTTGAGTGAATTTCTTAGTTTTGATTTCTAGTTTGGGCTGTGGTTCAATAGTTTTTTTATGATTTAAAATCTTTTGCATTTGCTGAGGCGTGTTTTACTTCTAATTTTGTGATCAATTTTAGAGTATGTGTCATGTGACAATGAGAAGAATGTATACACTGTTGTTTTGGGGTGGAGAGTTCTGTAGATATCCGTCAGGTCCACTTAATCCAGAGCTGAGTTCAGGTCCTGAATATTTTTGTTAATTTTCTATCTCGGTGATCTGCCTAATATTGTTATTGGGGCATTAAAGTCTCCCATTATTATTGTGTGAGAGTTGAAGTCTTTTTGTAGGTCTCTAGGAACTTGCTTTATGAATCTGGGTGCTCCTGTATTGAGTGTATATATATTTAGGATAGTTAGCACTTCTTGTCGAATTGAACTCTTTACCATTATATAATGTCCTTCGTCTCTTTTTTTTTTTTTTAATCATTGTTGGTTTAAATTCTGTTTTGTCAGATAGTAGGATTGCAACCCCTGCTTTTTTCTTTTTTCCATTTCCTTGGTAAATTTTCCTCCATCCCTTAATTTTGAGCCTATGTTTGTCTTTGCACATGAGATGGATCTTTTCAAGAAGCACACCGATGGGTCTTTTTTCTTTATCTAGCTTGCCATTCTGTGTCTTTTAATTGGGGCATTTAGCCCATTGACATTCAAGGTTAATACCGTTATGTGTGAATTTGATCCCGTCATAATGATGCTAGCTGGTTATTTTGCAGACTTGTTTAGGTGGTAGCTTCTTAGTGTCACTGGTGTGTGTACTTCAGTGTGTTTTTGTAGTGGCTGGTAACAGTTTTTCCCTTCCCTATCACGTGCTTCCTTCAGGAGCTCTTGCAAGGCAGGCCTGGTAGTGATGAATTCCCTAAGCATTTGTTTGTTTGAAAATGATCTTATTTCTCTTTCACTTATGAACCTTAGTTTGGCCAGATATAAAATTCTATGTTGGAAATTTTTTTCCTTAAGGATGCTGAATATTGGCCCCCACTCTCTTCTGGCTTGTAGGCTTTCCACTGAGAGGTCCACTTTTAGTCTGATGGGCTTCCCTTTCTAGGTGAACTGGCCTTTCTCTCTGGCTGCCCTTAACCTATTTTTTTTTATTTCAATCTTAGAGAGTCTGATGGCTATGTGTCTTGGGGTTAAACTTCTTGTGAAGTATCTTACTGGGGTTCTCTGCATTTTCTGAATTTGAATGTTGGCCTGTCTTGCTTGGTTGGGGAAGTTCTTCTGGATGATATCCTGGAGTATGTTTTCCAGCTTCATTCCATTCTCCCCATCTTTTTCAGGTGCCCCAATCAGTCGTAGGTTCAGTCTCTACATAATCCCATATTTCTTGGAGGTTTTGTTCATTTATTTTCATTCTTTTTTCTTTATTCTTGTCTTCCTGTCTTATTTCAAAAAGATAGTGTTCAAGCTCTGAAATTCTTTCCTATGCTTGATCTATTCTGCTACCTGTGATTGAATTGTGAAGTTCTTGTGTTGTGTTTTTCAGCTCCATCAGACATTTCTCTCTAAGTCCTTCTAAGTCTCTTTCAGTCCCAGTATGAGAACCTGGAAATTTCAGTTGAAAACGTTGAATTCATTCGCCCCTTTTCATTCCTCTCTGTGAGTGCCATGGACCGCAGCTGCTTCTATTCGGCCATCTTGGATCTTTTCCTTTCAAATCTTTAAATATCTACTTTTAAATATCTAAAAATATATATTTTATTTGTGATTGTCTTTGAATAGTTGGAATTTTGTTCCTTTTTCTATCTATTTATTCGTTTATTCCTTTTTCTAGTTTGTACTTTTAATACTTGCTTGTCTCCCCTAATGAACTTAAGGTAATTGGAGGCAAAGATTTTTTCTTATTAAGCACACATTATAGTATCTTGTTCATTATAGGTTCTCAAGACTGTCAGTTAAATGTCGTTAATAAAACTAGAAAACAATTCTGACTGGTTGGACACTGCTGAACATACCAAGAATATTTAATAAGATAAATGAACTGAGGGATATGAAGATTCAAGTCATAGACCAAAACATAAAGAGGCCTTGCCACAATTGGTTCAGATCCCCCTACATAGATAAGGGGTCAGAGACAGAATTTCTTTCCCTGGGAAAAATTGTGGGTTAAAATAGGGACTCAGCCTCCAAGTATCTATATAGCACCTTGGGGGAATGCTACAAGGACTTAAAGGTTCAAATAAATATATGAACTCCTAGAATTTTGACATAAAGTTAGAAACTGCAGTTTTCTAAAATCGAAGCAAACAAGAGCAAGATAAAACCAATAAGCTTAGTTATTGTTGCAGTAACCAATACCACTATCAATAAAAATAAGCTGGTTTTAAAAATATTACTAATAAAATTAGGTATTTATCTTCTCAATTACACTGCAGTGTATCTGGCATGAAATAGTTGTATTTTCTATAGTAGATTTTTTTGTAAATAAATGAGCTAGTATGAATGGTAGTCATTGTGGTGATGCTCTAACACTGTTCAAATGAGAAAGTGCCCTGATTCTGAATGATTTATATTTATTTATATATTTACCATAACTTGATGTTAGCATCTTTTGAGAGGATCCAGTTATTGCTTCCTACCTTTATATGAAACAAAGAACCTTTAGGTCTGTAGTGTGGTTTCTGAGTGATTCTGTTCACCAAAAGCAAAGAACTTTATAAATAGATTACCAATAATTCTTATGCTAAGTTTAGTTTCCATTATTAGTTAATATGTTGGCCAGTATCTGACAAAGTACAGTTCATTATTCAGTTAATTTTGAATCATCCCCACAAAACCTACTCGTCCCTATGTGAATTGATGTAGTTTAATTTCTGAACCTTCCAAACTAAGGACCAATTTCTGATTTCTTCTGTGAGATTCACTCTGAAGGGATGAGCTGGGTTATTGCCTTGCCATAGCCTAGTAATTTGGGTTATTCTAGGGTTTGGTCACAGCTTTGATTTAGCTTTCAGTTAGTGACTAAACACTAAAGCAAGAGATTAGTAATTGGAATTGTATCACAAGATCAGAGTAGAGCTAAGAGCAAAGCTAAGTCAACACTGAGACAATCATCTCTTGGGATATTATATCTCCCAGCTGTCTTAGATTATTGATACCAGGAGGAAAGAGGATTTAAAAAGCTGCTTTCTGTCCTCTCTGTGATTTCAGGAGGGTGAACCAGAGCTTTTGTTTACCTTCGGATCTGTACTAAAAGCCTTTTCAAGTAGAGAATATATGGTGAGGCAGTGGGAAAATACTCACTCTTAAGCCTTATGTGGATGTGTATACTGGTAGAATCTCTATGCAGGACAATTTTGTAATATTATTCAAAATTACATTTGAATGTATCTTTCAGCCCAGTAATTTCACATCTCAAAATATATCTTATAGGTAAATTTGCAGAAAATATAAGATTATTCACTTCAGCTCTGTTTGTAATGCAAAAGAGAATATAACACTAGTTAACTACATTATAATATACCCATAAAATGTAATACTATATAGTATTGATATACAGTCATAACAAATAGTAGGGGAACCCATTATACATAAATATATGGTAAAACAGCAAGTTTAATAATAATATATATATTACCCTATATGTATAAAAATAAATAACTGTATATAAATATTTGTGTATATTTTTCTATTTTTAACCATATAACATCTGTAGAAGGTTATATAATACATTGCTAAAATTGGTGGCCTCTGGATGGCTGGTCACTAGTGGTAAAAGAAAGACATTATTTCTGGAAAAATATGTTGTACTTTTTGAATTTTGGACTATGTGAATATGTTATCCAAATTAAAAATATGTACAAAAATTTTTAAAAAGTAGTAAATACTTTTATATCCAGGCATTTTTGTGATAAAGTCTTATGATGTTCCCAATTCAAAAATATATAACCTAAGCTCCAAAAATGTAGAAAGTAATAAACTAACTTGCTATTATATAAATATTGTTAACTTTCCAGCCTAGAATAAAGTGGTATCATGGCTGTCTACTTTTGTTAGCCAATTCTAAATTTTAGATTTTATAACTTGAAACTTCTCAATCATAGTGCTTATTCCCATACAGTTATGTGCTGTATAATTATAATACTGTATTTTTACTATAACTTTTCTATGTTTAGATATGGTTGGATACACAAATACCATTGTGTTTCAGTTGCCTACAATATTCAGTACAGTAACATGCTGTACAGACTTGTAGCCTGAGAGCAATACGCTAAACCATATTGCCTAGATGTGTAGTAGACTAAGCTATCTAGGTTTGTATACGTACACTCTGTAATGTTTGCACAGTGACAAAAGCACCTAACGATGCATTTCTTAGAATTTCTCTTCATCATTAAGCAACACATGTCTATATGAGACATAATGCTTACATATTAGACACACTGTTTTGTGAAAATTATTTGTCCATGTAGAGCTGGATTATCAATATACCAAAGATTCCCTTGGAACTTAGTGTATTTCTTGCCATTTCCTAGATTGACTCAGTGTTGGATTTGCTCCTAAGGATGTTCCATCTACTTGGTGACTTCAGTCAATTCAGACAGAAACACGTTCTTATGACCTCTGGTGTGTTAGCTGAATGAGAGCATCTACTTTTCAAAATTCCACCACAATTCCCAGATTTGAGCTTTGTTTAAATAATGCGGCTTCTGTGCCATTTTGTGACTGGCAGGAAATGTTGATTAGGCCTTGATTATATGCTCACATCTATTTTAAGGGTTTTGGACCAGCAGTATTCAAAGCAAATGGATTGAAAGTTTAGGAGAACTCACTCCCCAATGGAAAACCAGAATGTTAACAAGTGAAATGAACTGGATGCTAGGAAGGCAAAAACAGCAGCTATAAACTCTAAGAATATATTATAAAGAAAAAAGCTTGCATTTTCACTTGGAGGAAACAAGACCAGTAAAAGATGTGACCGGAATGGAAAAGGTTGTTGAACCAGACTAAAGTACAAGGGGTAGTCCAGATTTAGAGATTAAACTCAATTTCCTATCGCTCTTGTTTTGGTTTACTGCTAAAACAACAAACACTGAGGCATGGAATATGCACCACTTAGAGAATGAAGTAGTGGAATCAGCCTTGTTCCTCTGAGAGGAGTGCCTGTAATTCAGAAGTCAGCACCCTGGATTGGAGGAGTCCAGGCCTCTTGGCTTCTTGCCTTTTGCAGGTATAACTAGTGAAGGACACACATTAGACACTGAAAATCTACCCACTAATATGTATGTGTGTTTATATATATATATACACATATATATATATACACACATATATAGTGTATATATATGTGTGTATATATATATATGTGTATATATATGAGAGATGTTTTTCTGTGTCACAATTAGGTATTCTGTATTCCCTTTCTTACTAAGTTCTTGGGCCAACAGCAAGCTTAACCAGGTCTTACCAATGGGAACAATCATGGCAAAACTTAAAGTCTAAGAGCAGGGAAGTTTAATGTGTACTCAATACTTTTTGAATGGCTGAATAAATGACTGAATTTTCACAGAAAGTTGACACGTCTAAAAAAAGAAATATATTTTTAAGAAAAATAACCCATTTATACTATAGAAATCAAAATTATCTTATGTGCTTTATCAGTGATAACACCATTATTAAAGCAGCAGTATACTAAACCATGTGTATATATTTTCTGTGTAATTTTACAACTATGAGAATACATCCTAAAATTAGTTAACACATTTAAAAGGGGGAAATTTAATTTTATTAGGTCTAGAGGATCATTATAGAATTTACCCTAATGGCTTAAAAAAGTTAAAATATTTCACCTACACTTAAATCTTTTTGTGTACTCAGAAGATTTCAGCCCAATTGATCATGTTTCACTTCAAGAAATCCTTATAAATAAACTTTAATCCCATAGGACAGATCCATTAATTATGCTTTCAGGGGAGGCATAATTAATGGATCTGTACTATGGAATTATAGCATTCAGTAAATATTAATAATGAAAACTCATTCTACCAAGCACCTTAATAGTACCCAAACAAATAGATCATTTTATATGGCTGAAGCTTTCCTTCAGCATTCCCATATGGAACATGAAAGTATGCAAAACAATTTAACATCAGCTTTTCTGGGAGAACTTAATAGATTAAAGATTCTCTGATGGAGAGATTTTGCATCTCAATAAAATGATCTGTCAAAATTTACTTTGATGAAAGTTTTAAAAGCTCTGATAAAAACTCAGAGGCTATGAGTAAATAACTATTATGTATTATAACAATAAATAGCCTGGTTATATTGCTAATGAAGAATTTTTAAAATAAACTTTTAATTGGGGAATAGTTTTATATTTACAGAAAATATGCAGAGACAGTACAGACGAGTCCCATAAACTCCTGAGTTTCTCCTACTGTTATCATCCAACCTCAGCAGAGTACATTTCTCACAACTTAAAAAACCATCATTGGTGCATTACTATTAACTCAACTGGTCAATGTATTTGGATTTTAACAGTTTTCCTTAATGTCCTTTTTGTTATTCCCGAGTCACATTCAGGATACTTTATTACAGGGCTCCTCAACTTCCTGGCCACGGACCACTGGTCCGTGGCCTGTTGGAACTGAGCCACACTGCAGGAGGTGAGCGGAGGGCGAGTGAGCTAAGCTTCAGCTGTGCTTACAGCTGCTCCGCATCATTGCCATTACCAACTGAGCTCCACCTGCCTTTCAGATCAGCTGCGGCATTAGAGACCCTTAGGAGCGCTAACCCTAGTGTGAACTGCGCATGCGAGGTTTGAATGCTCCTTATGAGATTCTAATGCCTGATGCTGTGTCACATTCTCCCATCCCTCCCAAGATGGGACATCTAGTTGCAGGAAAACAGGATCAGGGCTCCTACTGATTCCACATTATGGTGAGTTGTATAATTATTTGATTATATGTTACAATGTAGTAATAATAGAAATAACGTGCACAATAAATGTACTTGAATCATCCCTAAATCATCCCCCTCCCACTTTGTGGAAAAATTGTTTTCCATGAAAACGGTCCCTCATGCCAAAAAGGTTGAAGACCATTGCTTTATTATTGTTGTTCGCCATGCTTTCTCAGTGAAAGTTTCTCACACTTTTCTTGTTAAGCACTGATTAGGTTTTTGCAGAACATTCCTCAGTTTAGATTTGTCTGATATTTTTCTCATGATTAGACTGTGGCCATTGGTTTGAGGGTAGAAGACCATAGATGTGAAGGATCCCTCTCTTCACATTATACAACGTTCATGCTGTCTACATAATGCTACCCTTGATCACTTGGTTGAGGTAGTGTGTGCTGGGTTTCTCCACTGTAAAGTTACATTTTCCTTTTTTCATACATTACACTTTGGAAGAAAGTCATTCAGTGTAGCCTGAGGGTGGGAATAGGGTGTTAAGTTTCATCTCTTGAAGAGAACTAGCTAAATGAATTATTTGGAATTCTTCTGAAAAAGGATTTGTCTCGTCTATTTATTTGTTGATTTGGAATTTTTCTGAAAAAAATGGGTCTCTTCTCCCGATTTATTTGCTCATTCTTTTAATACTTTGAGTTATACTCTGTAGTATGTTTTTTATGTTGTTGTTCGAATTGTTCCAGCTTTGGCATTTGGGAGTTCTTTCGTGTTGAGTTCTTTGTTCTTTGTCTCTTTGGCATACCCCTGTTCTTTTGTTTTTTGAGTACTTCCTTGCTTTATGGTACCACAGGATGCTCCAGAATCATCTTGTGCCTCTTGTAAATTTCTTGTCCCATTCTGGACTTGGAATTAGCCATTTCTCCTAGGAGCCCTGGTTTGTTTTTTAGAAAAAAAAAATTAAAAAAAAACACAAGACCTAGGCACTGGGTGTTAGTAAGGATATTTTATTTAATAAAATTACCACATTTTCCACAGAATCAGAAGAAAAACATAAGACTTATACAATAAAATATTTATAATACTTGTAAAAGATTCTTTCATTTTCATGGATTAAAAATTAACTCCCTAACTTATGAATCAGTTAACTGTATTTCAAAAATAAATTTAAATTTTAAATTTTATATTTTGTTTGTTTGTTTTTGCATTTGCAAGATTTAATAGAGTGAAAACGGAGCTCCCATACAAAGGGAGGGGATCCAAAGAGGGTAACCTAAATTTTATATTGTTAGATACACACGGCTGACTTGGAAATTGTATATACAGAACATTGACAGTACTAAGTGACAAATAGTTTGTGAATCAATTGAGAGTTCTTCCTTTCTTCATATCAAAATGAAGAAGATAATACTATGTTTCCCAATGCTATTAAAATGAGTACATGTTTGTATTTATCAATAATAAATATAATAGTAGCAGTTATGAGAAGATGTAACACTCAAAATATCAACTTTATTTTCTGATTATTAATAGTGCCTCTTATTCTTCAATTTCTCTGCTTTTTTAGTGACAGAATATTGAGTGAGGAATGAAATCGCTTGTCAATTAAGGAAATTGTCTTCTAAAAACAACAGCAATAAAGAAATGAAAGAGTTTTTTAATAATTAGGCAAGTAGAAAGGATTCTAGAGAGCAATATTCATAAAAAGAAGGTGATATTAACCAGAATATTTATAATATGCTCAGTAAATTCTTGTCTAGATTTTATTATTGAACCTAAGGATGACACTTAGGAGAAAAATGAAAGAGAACATAGTCTACATTAAATAGAAATAGAAAGGGAGAGGTGACCAATTTGTGCAAAATAACATTTTAATGGTAGGTAAAATGTTAGGTTCATATTATTTATCTGTGCTAGTGTTTGAAAGAAGCAGTTTGTCTGTTGGACTTACAACCAAAAACCAGGTTAAGAACACTTGTTAGAATAGGCTTCTTATGACAGGAATGTCTATTGTGTCTCCAATGGATTAAAAAAAAATTCATGAGAATTAAGGAGATTTATTCTGTTGAGATATTTGCTGCTTTTAGAAAATAGCTCTTCTATGTTCCCATAGGATTCACTTTCACATTATTATGAACCAATCACTTGTAAAATCTCTGAAATATATCAAAAGCAGATGAAGCCATAATTCTGACAGAACATTTTATGAAGAAAGTTGTGGATTAACAAAAACCATTAGCTTTTAAAAACATCAAATGTAACTTAAGTATTTTATTTAGATATTAAATTGTATCAGTATTGCTATTGTTGAATGAAAGAGTAAATGGATTAAAATATGAAATATGGATAAGACTTATCTTCAAAAGGTTTACGATACTATTTGATCTAAAAGAATAAGCAAATTGGAATGATACCTAAATTACAGATCACTGAAAAGCAAATGGGAAAACAATAGGATAAACATGAAAATATGTATTTCTCAACTTGATAACTAAGTACAGTTTATCAGCTGTTGTCATACGAGATTGATTTGTTTTTTTAAAATATTTATCTCAATATTTCCTCAGAACAGTAAAATTAAGGTGTCACACTTTAAGATTGATTTGAAAATTATAGCTAGAACACAATTTTCTCTTAGAATGACATTCAAAGAATCAGTGTTACATAATGTAAAATTTGGAGTCTGCTTTTTACTACCCTTTGATTTATATGTTAATTTCTGGAAAGTTGTGGGAGACCTCAATCTTTAAAGTTTACCATGAACCTTGACTTTGCACTCCTCATGTTCTTATAAAAATTAAACCTTCATTGGAAAGACTGTGATCCAGGCTTTTCAATTTTTACAAATGAATGTCATCTATGTCTCCTAAATATATAGTTTTTGAGGGTATGATACTTTAATAAGCTATGCAGGCTGTCCATACTACAGGTAAATATCGAATAATTCAACTATGAACGAACTGTGTTCTGTCACTTGCTTAAATTCTTGTGAGAAATCCAACTTTAAGAGATTTAGCTCAAGAGTCTTTTTTTCTGTGTTTTTCAGCATAAAGCTTCATTCATGTCTTACGTTAACATCCTGAGGTAAATTAGTTAGCAATACCAGCCTTGTTTCTCTATTATGTCATATAATCAGAGAGCGAGAGTCAGCAATTCATAATATTTCCTGGATTGATCAAATAAATGGCATAGAACTCCGGATAAATTTTGAAATTAAAGTCAATAACTAACTCACTTCAATTATCTGGTGCATGTATTTTCCTACTTCCTTTAGTAGATTATTGTTCAATTTTTACCTAATTTCCTTCTTTAGATATTTTTACTCAATGCACTGCCTTATATCAATTTCCAAAATAGGTGTGGTATGTGTTAAATTAACATTATGCTGAATATCTTGGTTCCTGTGTTTATAGTTCTTATCCTTGGTTTCTGGACTAGGGAGTCATAAGTAGTCCCAACTTAATGGATATTTAAAATATGTCCAGTTTATTGTACATTTGAATACAGTGAATTGAAAATAATCCTTGAATAGAAAGTCTCTAAGAATAAGTAGCGGTTGTAGCACCTATGCTTTGAATGCGTTCTTTTGTTGAAACTTAAGTGAGTCAAACTTGCCTACTTATATCCTTATCTCACTTGAGGTGAATTCATTCTTTGGTTTTAATCTTCACTGCAAAATTTCTGTGTGTTTGCACATATATTTAGAAACCAAGCTGAAAATGTAGGTATATATTCTTTTCAATGTTTTCTTTTGTTTTATTTGCATATGGGAGAATCCCTCTGAGAGACTGTGTTAAGAATATAATAAAATGACTTCTGTTGCTACCTACTATTAGTATATTTTTCTTGCTTTTAGAAAAGTAAATTAATGATGAACTTCTAACTGATATATCTTTCTTAGGCTAATCTCTCATTAAAGACGTTTTAATTGATTTTATTTTTAAAAGACTAGATAAACAGCCATTAGCAACATTCCAGGCATTCTCTTACATTTGTGTAAATCTTTTATCCTTAAATTTTTGTTTAGCAGAATAAAAGAAAGGTAAAATGTCAGGGGCTATGAATTTAGGAATTTAAAAAATTTAATATTTTTTCAGTTTGTAATTGTATATTATGGCAGATTGGTTTACATAATGAAAAAAATGGTTGCAATGATTTAAATCTTTATAGAAGAAAAACTGTAATACACGTTTGAAAATCAGTCTGAAATACATTGAAATAGCAACATAATGAATTATTACAGATACAGTTTAATTTAAAAAAGGTAAAATATAAATTAAGCAATGATGATAATAAATACCACCCTAACACAAAAAATGGCCATTATATTTGATAAAATGCACTTAAAATATACATGGAGAGTGATAATTTGACTAATTTCCCAGATAATCATTTCTGTATAAGGAATGATTTATTATATAATTATGATTAAATCTACGTTAAATCTGATTTTTTACATTCATATTTTACTTATTATTTGTTTATTTTAATGATTTATTTATTTTTCTAAATTATGAATAGTCAAAATGACTACAAAACAATCCTAATTAAATTCAATTTCACTGTCCTTGCAGAGTGCAGACATGAGTCCAGCAAGCAGTACCACGTCACTTCCTGTTAGTCCTCTTACTGAAGAGCCAGTGCCTTTCAAGGTAAAAAACAAACAAGAAAGCATTATTTATAAAAATATTAGGATAGTTAATAAATAGTTTAAAATAGTTTATGTGTAGATGGTGAAGTGAACTGCTTTAATCTTCAAGGGTCTGATTTCAAATCTTAAAATCGTTTTTTTGTGTGTTCCATTGTCATTCTATTGCTAACTAAAGGTAAAGGTTTGAATGATAATTAATACTTTATGGGACAATTGTTTGTCTTACATGTAAATGGTGGAGTTTTATTGTAATAGGTTGATTCACATGAATTAGAGGTTTTAAATATTTTGTTTATAGTAATTATATTAATATAAGTCATAGGGGAAAAAGGAAACATTCAGCCCTCATCTAGTGGTTAAATTTTCATTAGCAATGCTAGGTTACCAATAATTAATGATGTAATCCTTTTAAAATAAGAGTCAAAATCAAGAGTTGAAATATGGAATCATTCCACCAAACATATTGTATTTAATAAATATTGGAGTAAATATGCAAATAAGTATGTGGTATGACTGGTGGCATTTTTTTCACTTTGGGAAGCTATATACATAACAAATACGAAGTCTTGTTTTGCCACTTAAGATTAGATGTTTCTATTTAAGCCAAAGCTTGTAGATCAACTATTTTATGTTTGTACTGGGGTATTTAGATATTATTAGGATTATTATAAATAAAAACAATTCTTAAGAGCCTGAGGAAAAAAACTTAAAACGTTGGGATGATGTACTTAAGTGCACTGATTTCAGTATAGTTTGGTTTAAAGACGTGCACATTTTAAGATTATCACTTTTATGACTGCAATATTTTAACATACAATTATTATGAGAGTTTTTTATTTTTCATATAAGGAATGTATCTTATTCAATTTTATATTGCTTATACCTAGTACAGTTGCTGGCATGGATTTTCATATATTCAATATTGCTGTCTTGTTGAAATGATAATTATAGAAGGCTATGAATTCAAATGAGAGTATTTAGTTTTCTAATTATGGACACTTTTTTGCTTAATGAGAGTCAAATATTTGTTAGAAGGCCCTTTCTATACCTGCTAATTGTTAAATACTGAATGATATTCTGATTACATTATTTATTGAAACATTTTCTTTATTATTATACAGATAAATGAGAAAATAATACTAATGCTACAAAGTTTGATGTTACCGTTTTATGGTATATGGAACAAATTTACTGAAGAAGCATATCTTTAACAAGATTTTAATTGAATTCTCAAAACTTCGCCAGAAACCATTTTTTCTTTTTAATATTTTGACAATGATTACAGTCTTTGAAAATTAATGTATTTTTTAACAGAGGTTAAAAAAGGTTAGACATATTTCAGAATCTGCTGACATAAAGCTAATATAAATATAATTAGTTTCTCTAACTGGTTCTGAGAGATCAATAGTTTTGGGGTAAATGTAAATGGTTCTATAAGAAATTAAAACTTTCAAGTGCTTATAATATTTAGTATTGTCTTTTGATGGCCAACATAGTTATAGTGACTTTTAATTTACTCCTTTTGTGAAAGGAATATTGCCTATATCTTTTCAAAATATTTAATCACCTATAAAATTATCCCACTAGTGTTTATAAGTATCTAAACTTAAAAATCAAAATTATGAAATAAAACTTTATCTGCTTCTTTCATTTTTAGCTTATAAATTGTCATTGTGTAAATGAGTAATATAATACTTAATGTTACATAAACACAAAATATACAGAACTATTTTGAACAGAATCTTAACAGTATAAAGCATTGTAATTCCAAGGATATGTTGAGAATTATATAACAAATAGAAGACATTTAAGTTTTCTTATAACCACATTCTGAAAAAGTCTAATATTATAATTCAGATGTATAAAACTTTGATTAAAATTATGATATCTGAATAGCTAGGTAACTAGAAAATAAAAGGTTGTCTTTTTCACCTATTCCCCATGAATGTGACATGATATTTCATGTTAGTATTAGATTAATCCTCTTAACCTCTTAGCTTACTTTTCTAAGATACAGTGATTTCAGCACTCAACCCCATCACAATCCACCCTAACATTAGAAGAGCAAAGCTTCTTCTAATATTGGTGGGTGATTGAGGGATTTGATTTTCCTTTTTCTTCTGGGAAGTAATTAGATTACTAGAAGAAATGTATTTACTCCACTTTCTTAGTCAGTTTTGGAAGCACTCAGAACAGTTGGAGGAAGATACCTTGTTTTGGCTGGTATGTTTATCAAGGTGCATACTTTTTTTTAAGCATTACCTTTAGAATGACATTCAGATTAAGTTGAATTCAACCACATCATTTGAAATAAAGACAAATGGTAAATTATTTTTATAAAAAATAAATACAAATACTTTCCCACTAATACCCATGCCTTTATTCTTGAATGTTAGATAAGAAATTGGCTATTGTTAGGAATGTACCATAGTAAGATATATTAAATTAAGTATGGAAAAAAAGATGGCATCCTAGGGACTATCCCAAGGTAGGTTAAACTTTAGAGATACATGAATTTAAAATGGCAGTTCAGTCTTGTTTGGGATCAAATGTTTATTTTTTCCAATATGGCAGCATTTTTCAACTTTGTTAGTATTGGAGCCCATTCTTTCAATTAATTAAAAACGATCTGCCCTGAAAGATAGTCTAAGCCCCACATACATACTCACTTCTCTATTCCCCCACACTATGGTTCAGTTCCTGCTAATCTCAAATTTACTGTTTAAAAACCATTGCTAGAGTGGTTTGATTGGTGTAGCTAGCCTTTCAAAACTGAGGACATTTCACACAAAAATTCATCCAACTTTGTCTTAAACAATTGAAAAATCTGGAAACTTTGTGGATCTCGTTGTAAGTAGAACTACTTGATAAGAGATGAGAAGGCTTTCTCCATCTAGACAGGGTACATAAACTCCAGGTCACCACAGTCATCACCATTCCTACTATATTCATGCCAGGTGATGAATGCATTTGACTGTATTCTTTCATAGAAGATAGTGTATAATTCACAATCTTCCACATATACTACACATAATAAACTCCAGATTTCCTGGGCAGCCTCTTGATACTGAGGAGTTTCTAGGATGCTTGGTTCAAAAAGTTTCTTTTATAAGAACTGTCAGATTCTTTTACCTTTATAAACTATTGTTATGGGCATCTATTTGGAAACAAAAGGCAAATGTATAACCTCTAGTTTTTGTTGTTTTTTAATAGAATATTCAGCATTATATCAACTGTACACACATATGGTCTGACACATGCCACTGCATCATTATAGAAGAGCCAAAGGATAACCAATTTTGCATAGGTAGGAACAAAATGTTATCAAACATCAACAACAGAATCATAAAAGTTCAAGATCATTAAAGTGAAACATTGCTCTGATAAAAGACAGTGGATTGCTTAGCCATTAAGTTTTTTATAGTTTTCTGAGGACTAAACCTGAACAAAATTGATGTTGTTAATTTTAATGTGCTCATTCTATCCTTTTCTATCTTTTCCCTCTGGCATTCTCCCTGATTTCTTGCAAACATCTAATCACTTCCTATCTCATCTGCCTGACATCTCCCTTTGTTAGCCTTGGTAAAATGCTCCACACTGAAGATGGCTTCAAGCCACTACATTTCACTGTTCTTTAGTAGGATGACCCTTTCAATGTTTTGTACATATGCAGTTATTAGCAGCCTCAGTCCATTCCTGGAACTAACACTCTTGAAGCTAAAGCTGGCTCGTTGCTCCTGACCCTCCATAAAAGTACAATTTATCATGAGCCATGTTCTTTTTGCTAGTAATGTTCATCAGTTTTAAAATTTATTTGTACTTCAATGAAGCATGATGGCTACATTTTAGTCTCTTTTCCTACTTAAGTAATATTTTTTGATTAGATATGTTAGGAAATCATATTATCCTACTGTACTGTATTATATTTATCCTGTGATAAATTCAGCAGGAAAAAAAAACTTCTATTCTATTGTTCTTTGAACTTCTGAAGACTTTTGTAGCTTCAAAAGTACACAAAGGCATTGAGGAATACCCTCCATTCACCAATCCTTGATCAAAATTTAAAACAAACCTAATTCATTGCATTTCTTGGCCCATTGACTACTGCTTCCCTGGGATGTTTGCATTCCTGGAATGCCTAGAGGGATTGTCACAGTACCTGGAATGCACAATGGCACCACCCTCTCCAAGGTATGGCCACATTCCCAAGGAACTGACAGTGTGGCATTTGGTTCTTTCCTAGGTCTCTTCTTCTTATGAAATCCAAGGTTCTCTGACTTCTTTTCCTCATCCCTAGTTATTTCTCTTTAGTCTAAAGAAACTCCAAGCTTCTCTCAGAGATGTTTCTTCTCTCCTTAAATCAGCCAGGGCACTGATAAAACAATATCAAGAATAAGAACAAGAAAAAACTCTTTGATGTACTTTTTAGGAATAGAATTGTGTCTGAAGATTCTTCTGCCGTGACATGAACTTAACTTTAATATGCACAGAGCCACTTTGCTTAAGCAGGGGATAGAAGGGAGGAAGTAGATAAATAAATTGTTTCAAAAAATTTTTTTGTAGGCTGGGTGTAGTGGCTCACCCCTCTAATTCCAGCACTTTGGGAAGCTGAGGCAGGAGGTTCGCTTGAGCTCAGGAATTTGAGCCCAACCTTAGCAATATAGGGAGACCCCCTCCCTATTATTTAAAAACATATATTCTACCATGAAATACTGGTATGTTAAGCAATAAAAATGATGCTTAACTTTACGTGACCATAGAGCCTGGATTCAGGAATTAGTAATGTGTAGTAACACACAGTTTGCTCCCTATTGTATAAAATGAAGTGTGTAGAAAAAAAGATGCAGTAAATATAGAATTATCAATCTTCAACTCTGGGGATGGATCACACTATTTTAAGAAAAATTTTCTGTAGTTTCTATAATGACCACTTATTTCTATTTTTAAAACAATGTTTATTTTTAATAAAGCAGAAAAGAGAATTGGGGGCATTAGAAGCAATGCAGTCTAATTAGGAGGCTGTCTGGGAGGATCAAACCCCAGTTTTGCCACTCTCTAGCTATGTGAGACCTTGAGCCAGTTATTTTGTGTCCAAATATCTTATTTATAAAATGACAACAGCAACTACTTCTTCATTAGGTTCTTATAAGGTTAAACAAGTTAATAAATGAAAAGTGTCTACAATAGCACATAGTAACCCATATGTAACTGTTGATTATTATTTTTATAGATGCAAGATCTCCAAGTTCAATGCAAGAAAGTCTTATAAATACTGTAGGGCAGAAATTTTGCCACTGAACTCCTACTACTTTATTTTCAAATATGAAAGAAATATATTTTAAACATAAATTATTTACTTTGATGAAGATTCAAGTTTAACATTTATTCCTACAAGTCATGCTATTTATTTTATACGCTTGAGTATTCAGTTGAGCTCATATATCAGATTCCTCTTATGAAAAATGATTAATGGAAATGTTTATTAATTTTGAGAAGGAGTAAATATAATGAATTTGTCTTGAGGGAAAACTGGTAAATATAATGAAACACTACTTGGAAAAAATACATAATAGTTTCTGTAACAATAAGAACATATATATATTGGCCGGGCGCAGTGGCTCACGCCTGTAATCCCAGCACTTTGGGAGGCTGAGGCGGTTGGATCACAAGGTCAGGGGATCGAGACCATTCTGGCTAACAGGGTGAAATCCCGTCTCTACTAAAAATACAAAAAAATTAGCCTGGCGTGGTTGTGGGCTCCTGTAGTCCCAGCTACTGGGGAGGCTGAGGCAGGAGAATGGCGTGAACCCAGGAGGTGGAGCTTGCAGTGAGCGGAGATAGCACCACTGCACTCCAGCCTGGGCTACAGACCGAGACTCCATCTCAAAAAATAAATAAAAATAAAATAAAATAAAATAACAAAAGAACATATAGTATCTTTTTATCAGGCATACACCATAGCAACTTTTTCTTTTGTTATCCAAACCACCACAGTAACGTAACCTGGTAACCTCCTAAAAGCATACCTTCCAGTGAAGGAATATTATTTAACCACTTTAGAATACTGGGGAAACACCCATTGTGAACAAAGTGCTGCTGCTGTTTTACTTGTTTATATATTATAACATCAACATAGTGAGTAGTTTCGATTTATTTCATCTAAATATATCATTATGTAAAAGAATACATTTGGAAACTCTGAAAGACAGAAGCCAAATTGTGGCATGACCTTCACAACATCATCTGTTGTGTATCCTGCATAGACTCATTTTTGTGTGTGTATGAGAGAGTTTTTATTGTTCCTTTTCATTTATTGAATGTAATGGTCTCTCTTAGTATTAGAAATCGCTTTTTTAATGTATCCCTGGAAGAGCCCATTATGGTATATTTCTGCATTTCTGGTCATTTTTTACTAAGCCATCTATGCATTCAAGGATTTGTTGATGAATCAATTTGTCAAGTACCTACCATGTTCTTAGTAATATTCTAAGGCATTGGTATGTCGATGTCAACAACACGAACTAAATCCCTGCATTAATGGTGTTTGGGTTCTTGGGAGAAGAAATAGACAACCAGCAAATAAATATATAAAATGTCAGGTAGGGTGATAAATGTTATGATGAAAAGTAAAGCGCAATATGAAGGATAGAAAGTGGCACTGGAGTGTGTTGGTGTTTCAAAAAGGATGGCTAAGGAAGACCACTTTGATTATGGAACATTTTAGTAGAGACCATAATGAAGAAAGGGAGAAAGCCACTCATGTTTTTATGGGAAGAAACCTGAGAATAACAACTGCAAAAGCAAGAGAATACTCGGTCTTATCAGGAATGGCAAAACATTGTGTTTGGAGTAGAATGAATGATGAGACAAGTAATACAAGTTTAGGTCACAGAGAAATCTTATCATAAAAGGTCTAGTATGTCATGATAAAGACTTAAGATCTTATTTCACATATGATGAAAAGCCATTAGAGTGTTTGTTGAAAAAAAGAATGACATAATCAGACTATTGTTAAACTATTGCTTTGGTTTCTGTGTAGATATAGGCATTACTGAGTCAAGGCTCCTATAGTTGAAAGATTATGATGGCTTAAACTGGAGTGGTAAAAGTTGAGGGGATAACAATTGATTGAATATTGAGTACATTTTGAATGTGGGGTCAGCAGGATTTGTTAATATATTGTATGTAGAATATCCTAAAAGAACAAAATCAAAGATAGTTTCTGATACTAATTTTTTAATGTTTTCCTATTTTTACCCTTTAGGTAACTTTCTGATGTTACAAATAGATAGCATGATACGGAGATTAGTAAAATCTTATTTGTTTGGTTGGCTTAATTGTGTTAGTAGTGAGGCAGTAATTGTGAAATGGCAGACGATGTTGGTTTTGCAGGGGATAATATTCAATCCTACAAGTAATACTAATTTCTGGTAATATATTTTATCTGCCAGATAACTGAAAGCACATAGGTAAAACTAAACATAATTTGTGGTGGATGCTGATAAATCAATAATTATGGTTTAGAAATATGATTCATTAATACATAGGTGAAGAAATAAGCAGGTAAAAATAAAATTCTTTGAGGGATAGCTGATGAATTTTGAATATAAACCATACAATAGGTATATATTTGAGGAACCAATGTATTTTATAAAAATCATTTTAAATAAACATGGCATCATTGTGGTTCTCTAATGGGAATAAATTTTAAGAGGGTTCTATTATTTATACTATGTATATTTAAAGCAATTATTTTTGATTGATGTAATACAAAATGATAGTTTCACTCATATAATTCCAAGTAATAAACCATCTCAAAACCTGTCAGTCTAAAATAATAATTTATTATTGATGTTTATGATTCTGTAGGTCGACTAGACTCATCTGGGCAGTTCTTGTGTGAGGTTTTAAAGTGGGTACAGTCAGACTGAGGTTGAGAATGGGGTCATCTGAAGGCTCAGGTGAGGTAGACTCCCAGGATAATTCCTTTATTCACAAGTCTGGTGTTGCACTGAAAACACTGTACCTATTGGGATTTCTCTCTCTCTCTCTCTCTCTCTCTCTCTCTCTCACTGCTCTATTCTACTTCTGCCTCCCTCTTTCTCTCCTCAGCCTCTCCATGGACTAGCTTGAGCTTTCTCACAACATGCTGGTTTTGGATAATTAGACTTGTTATATGATAGTTGGCTTCCCCTAGGGTGAATGTTCCACAGGAAAAGAAAGGGAAACATGTCAGTCTAATTAGGACTAGACCAGAAATACACAGCTTCACCTCCACATTGTTCTATTGATTTAGCAGTTCCAGAGTGTGTCGACAGTCCCTAAGACTACCCCTACATTCAGAGATTTGTAAGAAGACACAGAATTCAACAGAGATCACACTCGCCTCTACCAGCAATGTGAACAGAGGACATGTATGTGATATTTCTGCCCAGTAAAGGCCAGTAGCAACTCAGCACCAAAGGATTTTACTGGGGGCTTATCATGTAGGAACCCTGTACCTAGTGTATATCCATATTCTAAACTCCCAGAAGAAATCAGGTATTTAACATAAACATTATTGTACAAATATTGTTTGTACAAACTACTTAGGGACAGTGAGCCAATCTTATCATTTATGGAAATCTTTATATGTATGTAGGACTCTGGTTACCAGTCAGTCAAGTTCTTAGATACCAACCAGTGGCTAATCTTGCAAGTGGGCCTTTCTAAGCACTATATATTAATTTGTTCTCTATCTCCATCAGTTTAATTATTGTAATATTTAGCTCCCATAAATAAGAACATGTGTAATTTTCTTACTTTCCTTGGCATATTTCACTTACCATAATGACTTCCAGCTCCATCCCTGTTGTTACAAATGATAGCATCTAATTCTTTTTTATGGCTGAATAGTGTTCATTGTGTATATGTATCACATTTTCTTAATCCATTCATCTGTTGATAGTCACTTGGATTATTTGCAAATCTTGACTGCTACGAATAGTGCTACAGTAAACATGGGAGTGCAGATATCTCTTCAATACACTAATTTCCCTTCTTTTGGGAATATATCTAGCAGTGGGATTGCTGGATCAAATGGTACATCTATTTTTAGTTTCGTGAGGAACCTCCAAGTTGTACTGCATAGTAATTGTACAAATTTACATTCCCACCAACATTGTATGAAGGTTCCCTTCTCTTCACATCCTCCAAAGCATTTGTTATTTTGCCTGCCTTTTGGATAAACATCATTTTAACAAGGATGAGATGATATCTCTTTGTAGTTTTGATTTGCATTTCTCTGATGATTAGTGATGTTGAGCACCTTTTGATATATGTGTTTCCCATTTGTATATATTCTTTAGATAAATGTCTATTCAGATGTTTTGGCCATTTTTAAATTGCATTGTTAATTTTTTGTCCTATAGAGTTGTTTGAGCTCCTTATATATTCTTATGTTAATCCCTTGTTCAGTGGGTGGTTTTCAAACATTTTCTCCCGTTCTGTGAGTTTCTCTTCACTTTATTGTTTCCTTTGTTGTGCAAAAGCTTTTTAACTTGATATGATCCCATCTATCCAATTTTGCTTTGGTTGACTGTGGTTTAGGGATATTAAGAAATCCTTGTCTACTCCATGGTCCTGGAGAGTTTCCCTAGTGTTTTCTTTTAGTAATTTGATAGTTACGTCTTATATTTAAGTCTCTAATCCATTTTGACTTGATATTTTGTATATGATCAGAGATAGGGGTCTAGTTTCATTCTTCTGCATATGGATATCTAGGTTTTCTGGCATCATTTATTAAAGAGATTTTCCTTTCCCCGATGCATGTCTAGGCACTTTTGTCAAAAATGAGTTTTCTGTATATGTATAGATTTGTTTCTGGGTTCTCTATTCTGTCCCATTGGTCTGTGTGTCTGTTTTTATGCTAGTACCCTGCTGTCTTGTGTACTATAGCTCTGTAATATGATTTCAAGTCAGGTAATGTGATTCCTCCAATTTTGTTCTTTTTGCTCAGGATAGCTTTGGCTATTCTGGGTCTTTTGTGATTCCAAATTTATAAATTTTAGGATTGTTTTTAATATTTTTGTGAAAAACGTCAATTTAATCTATAGATTGCTATTTTTATTTTTATTTTTATTAATTTAATTTAATTAATTAATTTATTTATTTTGAGATGGAATCTCGCTTTGTCGCCCAGGCTGGAGTGAAGTGGTGCAATCTCCGGTCACTGCAAGCTCTGCCTCCTGGGTTCTTGCCATTCTCCTGCCTCTGCCTCTCAAGTAGCTGGGACTACAGGCTCCCACCACCACGCCCGGCTAATTTTTTGTATTTTTAGTAGAGACGGGGTTTCACTGCGTTAGCCAGGATGGTCTCGATCTCCTGACCTCGTGATCTGCCCGCCTTGGCCTCCCTAATCTGTAGATTTCTTTGGATAGTATGGACATTTTAACAATATTGATTCTTCCAATTTATGAATCTAGAATATCTTTTCATTTTTGTATCCTCTTCAATTTATTTTATCAGTGTTTTATGGTTTTCATTGTAGAGAGCTTTCATTTATTTGGTTAACTCCTAGGTATTTATTTTTGTTTATAGCTATTGTAAATTGGATTACTTTCTTGATATTGCAATTTTCACAATTTTCAAATAGATTCCGTTGGGATATAGAAATGTTAATGATTTTTGTATGTTGATATTGTATCCTGCAACTTTACTGAATTTGTTTTTCAATTCTAATAATTTTTTTGGTGGAGTCTTTAGGTTTTTCCACATATAAGGTCATATGACCTGCAAACAAGTATAATGTGGTTTCTTCCTTTCCAGTTTGGATGGCTTTTATTTCTTTCCCTTTTCTGATTGCTCTAGCTAGGACTTCCAGCACTATATTGAATAACAGTGGTGAAAGGGCATCCTTGTTTTGTTCCAAATCTTAGACGAAAGACTTTCAGATTTTCCCCATTTAGCATAAGCTGTGGGTCTGTCATATATGGCTTATATGGCTTTTATTGTTTTGAGGTATGTTTCTTCTATACTCAGTTTTTTAGGGTTTTTATCATGAAAGAGTGTGGAATTTTATCAAATGCTTTTTCAGCATCTATTAAAATAATTATATGTTTATTGCCCTTCATTCTGTTGACATGGCATGTCATATTAATTGATTTTTGTATGTTAAACCAGGCTTGTATCTGTAGAATGAATTCTACCTGGTCATGACGAATGATCTTTTTAATGGGTTGTTGAATGCAGTTTGCTAGTGTGTTGTTGAGTATATTTGCATCAATGTTCATGAGGGATATTGTCCTGTAGTTTTCTGTTTTGGATGGGTCTTTGTTTAGTTTTGGTATCAAGGTAATATTGGCCTCATAGAATGACTTTGGAAGTATTTTCTCCTCTTCCACTTTTCAGAATAGCTTGAGGAGGATTGATACTAGTTCTTCAAATGTTTGCTAAAATTCAGCAGTGAAGCCACTGGGTCCTGGGCTTTTCTTTGCTTGGAGATGTTTTATTACAGCTTCAACTTCATTACTTATTATTGGTCTGTTCAGATTTTACATTTCTTCATGGTTCAGTCTTGATAGATTTTATGTGTCTCAAAATTTATCCATTTCTTCTACATTTTCTAATTTATTGGCACATAGTTGCTCATGGTAACTTTAAATTTATGTAGTATCAGTTATAATGTCTCCTTTTTCATCTCTGATTTTATTGGTATGGGCTTTCTCTCTGTTTTCTTAGTCTGGCTAAAGGTTTATTGATCTGTATTATTTATTTTACTAATTTTGGTTTTGATTGTTCTTTTCTAGTTCTTTAAAATGCATTGTTAGGTTGTTTATTTGAAGTGTTTCTACTTTTTTGAAATAGGTGCTTATAACTATAAATTTCCCTCTTAGAAATGCTTTCACTATAGCTCATAGGTTTGGGTATGTTGTGTTTTCATGTTCATTGGTTTCAAGCAATTTTTAAATTTTTTTCTTATTTTAATCATTGAGCCACTGATCACTCAGAAGCATATTGTTTAATTCCATGAATTTGTACAGTTTCCAAAATTCATTGTGTTGTTGATTTTTCATTTTATTCTATTGTGGTCAAAGAAGATAATTGATATAATCTCATTTAAACAAAATTGTAAGACTTGTTCTGTGGCCTAACATATGGTCTATCCTTGAGAGTTATTCATGTGCTGAGGAGAATAATGTGTATTCTGAAGCCTTTGGATGAAAAATGTTCTGTAAATATCTGTTAGGTCCATTTGGCCTGTTGTCCAGATTAAGTCCAATGTTTCTTTGTTGATTTTCTGTCTGGATGATCTGTCCAATGCTGAATGTGGGGTGTTGAAGTCCCCAAGTATTATTGTATTGGAGTCAATCTCTCTCTTTAGCTCTAATAATATTTACTTTATAAATCTGGGTGCTCTTGTGTTGGGTGTGTATATATTTACAATATTGTATCCTCTTGCTGAATTGACCTCTTTATCATTATATAATGACCTTCTTTGTGTCTTTCTATATTTTTTGTCTTGAAATCTACCTTTTCTGATATAAGTATAGCTAGTCCTGCTCTTGTTTCCATTTGCAAGGAATATCTTTTTCCATCCCTTTATTTTCAGTCTATATTTGTTTTTACAGGTGAAATGTGTTTCTTGTAGGAAACAGATTATTAGGTCATTTTTTTTATCCATTCAGCCACTCTATGACTTTCAATTGGAGAGTTTATTTCATTTACATTCAATGATATTATTAATAAGTAAGGACTTACTCCTACTTACTCCTATTTTGTTTTCTGGTTGTTTTTTCCTTCTTTCCTCCCTTGCTATTTTCTTTTGTGTGAAGGTAATTTTCTCTGGTGGTATGTTCTGATTTCTTGCTTTTTATTTTTCTTTATCTGCTGTGGGTTTTTTGATATGAGGTTATCATGAGATTTGCAAGTAACAACTTATAACCCATTTTTTTAAAAAATAGGTTTAAAATGCAATGACAACATGGATTGCATGAACAAACAAACAAGTACAGAGAAAACTATTAAAAACCCTACACTTTAACTTCATCCTCCAACTTTTTAACTTTTTACTGTTTGCATTTATATCTTATACTAACTATGTCTTGAAAAGTTGTTCTAGCTATTATTTTTGTTACATTCATCTTTTAGTTTTTCTACCCAAGTTATGAGTTTATGTACCATAGTTACGGTGTTATAATATTCTGTGGTTTTCTGTGTACTTACTATTGCCAGTGAGTTTTGTAACTTCAAGTGATTTCTTATTGCTCATTAACATCCTTTTCTTTCAGATTGAAGAATTCTCTTTCTTTAGCATTTCTTGTAGGACAGGTTTGGTGTTAACAAAATCCCTCGTCTTTTGTTTGACTGAGAACATCTTTATTTCTCCTTTATATATGAGGATATCTTTGCTGGATAAACTATTCTAGGATATAGGTTTTATTCCTTCAGCACTCTAAATATGTAATGCCATTATTTCCTGGCCTGTAAGGTTTCCACTGAAAAGGCTGCTGCCATATGAATAGGAGCTCCATTGTATGTTGTTCCTTTCTTCTTGCTGCTTTTTAGGATCCTTTCTTTATCCTTGTCCTTTTTTAGTTTAATTATTAAATGTCTTGAGATAGTCTTCTTTGGGTTAAACCTGCTTGGTGTTCTATAAATTTTAGGTACTTAAATATTTATATCTTTGTCTAGGTTTGGGAAGTACTATGTTATTGTCCATACCTTAATTTGTCTCTCTACTTCTTCTTTAAGGCCAATAATGCTTAGATTTGCCCCATTTAGACTATTTTCTAGATTTTGTAGGTGTGCTTCATTCTTTTTACTTTTTATCTCCCCTGACTATGTATTTTCAAATAGCCTGTCTTCAGGCTTATTACTTTTTTATTCTCCTTGATCAGTTCTTCTGAGACTCTGATCTGTTCTTCAGTATTTCAATTGTATTTTTCAGCTCTAGAATTTCTGCTTGATTCTTTTTAATTATTTCCATCTATTTGTTAAATTTATGTGATAGGTTCTGATTCCTTTCCCTTTGTTATCTTGAATTTCATTGAGTTTCCACAAAATAACTATTTTGAATTCTCTGTTTGAAAGATCACATATCTCTGTTTCTCTTCAGCATTGGCCACTGGAGCCATATTTAGTTTCTTTGGTGAGGTCATGTTTTCCTAGATGGTCTTGATGCTTGTGGATATTCATCAGGGTCTGGTGTCTGGGTATTGAAGAGTTAGGTATTTATTGTAGTCTTTGCAGTCTGGGCTTGTTTTTGAACCCATCCTTCTTAGGAAGGCTTTCCAGGTATTCAAAGGGACTTTGGTGCTGTGATCTAAGTCTTTGGTCACTGCAGCCATATCTGCATTAGAGGACACCCCAAGCTGAGTAATGCTGTCATCTTGCAGACTCATAGGGGTACTGCCTTGGTTCTTGGCTAGGGTCAGGCGAATTTTTTTTTGCTTTACCATACAGAGATTCTTGTTGTTTTCTCTTACTTTCCCCCAAACATAGTCTCTCCCACTATTTTGGGTTGTCAAGAGCTGGGGAAGTGTGATACAAGCACCCCTGTTGCCACCTCACTGGGACCAAGTTGCATTCAACCCAAAGCCAACACAGCACTGTGTCTTCCCAAGGCCCACTGTGACCTCCCAAGGCCCACTATGACCAATGCCTGGCTATCACCTGTGTTCACTCAAGACCAAAGGCTCTACAATCAGCATTTGGTGAATCCAGCCAGGCTTGTTTTCTTCCCTTCACGGCACTGAGTTTCTCTCTCCCTGTAGCCAACACTACCCCAGGCCTAGGGTGAGCAATGCCTGGCTGCTGTCGATGTTCACTCAAGGCCCTGTGCTCTTTCATCAGCTTATGGTGAATGCTCTTGTCCTGAGTCTCTCCTTTCAGAGAAGTGGGCTCCTGTCTGGCCCAGGGCAGGTCCAGAAATGCCATCCAGGAGCCAGTGCCTGGAATTCAGGACCCCAGGAGCTTGTTTGTTGCTCTTCCCCACTATGGTGGAACTGGTACAAGCTTCAGTAAAAAGTCCCATTTTTTCCTTCCTCTCTTCTTCTAAGCAGGAGACTCTACCCATAGCCACCACAGCTGTGAATGTGCTGGGTCACACCTGAAGCCAGCATAGCTCTGAGTCTCACTCAAGGCAAGTGGCAAGTACTGCCTGCCTGCTACTGCTCATTATTTAGAGCCCAAGGGCTGTTTAGTCAGCAGGTTATGCATCCTGCCAGGACTGGGTCCTTCCCTTTAGGGCAGTGGGTTCCCTTTGGCCCATGGTATATCTGGAGTTGTCATCCAGGAGCTAGGACCTGAAAGGGGGGCCTCAGGTCTCTGCCTGTTGCCCTATTCTATTGTGGCTGTTCCAATACCCAAGTTGGAAGACAAACTCCTCTTTACTTTCCCCCTCCTCTCCTTAAGCAGAGAGAAGTCTCTCCCAGAGCTGCAAGCTGTGCTACCTGGAGTTGGGGGAGGGGTGATGCAGAAACTCCCTTGGCTGCCCCAGCTTGTGTCTCATTGGGTCATGTGCATCTTAGCTTCATGGGCTCCAAGTTTAGCACCAGGACTTGCCCAGGAATTGCAGTCCTTGTGGGCTAGAC